>NC_000012.12:34566711-34719407 GCF_000001405.40 Homo sapiens
GGCTCACAAATATCCATTCACACATTCTATTGAAACAGTTTTTCCTAAACTGCTCAATGAAAAGAAAGATTGAACTCTGTGAGATGAAGACACACATCACAAAGCAGTTTCTCAGAAAGCTTCTTTCTAGTTTTTATCTGAAGATATTTCCTTTTGCACCATAGGCCTCACTGTGCTCCCAAATATCCCTTTGCATATTCTACAAAAACAGTGTTTCCAAACTGCTCAACCAATAAAATGGTTTACATCAGAGAGATGAATGCATATATCACAAAGCAGTTTCTCAGAAAGCTTCTTTCTGATTTTTATCTGAGGATATTGAATTTTTCACCATAGGTCTGAATGCACTCCCAAATATCCCTTCGCATATTCTACATAAACAGTATTTCCAAACTGCTTAACCAAATGAAGGGTTTAACTCTGTGAGTTGAATGCACACATCACAATGCATTTTCTCAGAAAACTTCATTCTAGTTTTTCTCTGAAGATATTTCCTTTTTAACCATAGGCCTCAAAGTGCTCCCAAATATCCGTTTGCAGATTGTACGAAACCGTGTTTCCAAACTGCACCACCAAAGGAAAGGTTTAACTCTGTGAGATGACTGCTCAAGTCTCAAAGCAGTTTCTCAGAAAGCTTCTCCCCAGTCTTTATGTGAAGATATTTCCTTTTTCACTGTGGGCCTCAATGCACTCCTAAATGTCCCTTCGCAGTTTACATACAAAGAGTGTTTACGAACTGCACCATCAATAGAAACTTTTAACTCTGTAAGGTGAATGCAACACATCACATATCAGTTTCTCTGAAAGCTTCTCTTTGTTTCCATCTGATTGTTTACTTTTACATTGAAGATATTAATGCACTCCCAAATATCCCTTCACAGATTCTACAAAGATAGTCTTTCCAAACTGCTGAATGAAAAGAAAGGTAAAACTGTACTAGGTGGATGCACACATCACAGAGGGTTTCTCAGAGATTTTCCTTCTAGTTTTTATCCTGGGATATTCACTTTTTTGCCATTGGACTCAAAGAGCTCCCAAATATCAATTTGCAGAATGGAGAAAAAAAATGTTTTCAATCTTCTGAATCAAAAGAAAGTTTTAACTCTGTGAGATGAGTGCCCATTTGGAATGTGCCCATTTGGAATAGCAGTTTCTCAGAAAGCTTCTTTCTAGTTTTTATCTGATCATGTTTTCTTTTTCAACATAGGCCTCGATGCACTTCCAAATATCCCTTTACAGTTTCTACATAAACACTGTTTCCAAACTGCTGAAAGGAAAGAAAGGTTTAATTCTGTGAGATGAATTCACACATCACAAAGCAGTTTCTCAGATAACTTCCTTCTAGTTTGTATAATGATATATTCACTTTTTCACCATTAGCCTAAATGAGCTCCAAAAATTGCTTTTGCAAAATGGACAAAAATAGTGTTTCCAAATTGCTGAATCAAAAGTCAGGTTTCACTCTGTGGGATGAATGCACTTACCAAAAAAAAAAAATGTCTGAAAGAGCTTCTTTCATGTTTTTATTTGAAGACATTTTCTTTTTCACCATAGGACTCAAGGCGTTCCCAAATATCATTTTGCAGATTCTACAAAAACAGTTTTTCCAAACCTCTCAATCTAAAGACAGGTTTATCTCTGTGCAATGAATGCACACTTCACAAAACAGTTCCTCAGAAAGCTTCTTCCTAGTTTTTATCTGAAGATGTTTCCTTTTTCACCATAGGACCCAATGCCATCTGAAATATCTCTTCACAGATTCTACAAAAACGGTGTTTCCAAACTGCTCAATCAAAAGATAGCTTTAACTCTGTGAGACGAATGCACACATTGCAAAGCATTTTCTTAGAAAGCTTCTTTCTAGTTTTTATCTGGAGATATTTCTTTTTTCGGCATAGGCCTAAATGCACTCCCAAATATCACTTCACAGATTCAACAAAAACAGTGCTTCCAAAGTGCTCAATCAAAAGATAGGTTTAACTCTGTAAGATGAATGCACAAATCACAAAGTAGTTTCTCAGGAAACTTCTTTATAGTTTTTCTCTGAAGGAATTTCCTTATTTTACACTGGGCCTCAATGCACTCCCAACTATCCCTCGCAGATTATACAAAACCGTATTTCCAAACTACTCGATCAAAAGAAGGGATTATCTCTCTCAGGTGAATGCACACATCACAAAGCAGTTTCACAGAAAGCTTCTTTCTACTTTCTATTTGAAAATACGTCCTTTTATACCGTAGGCCTTAATGAGTTCCCAAATATTCCTTCACAGATTTCAGAAAAACAGTGTTTCCAGACTGCTCAACAAAAAGAAAGGTTTAACTCTGTGAGATGGGTGCATACATCATAAAGCAGTTTTTCAGAAAGCTTCTTTCTAGTATTAATCTGAAGATATTTCCTTTTTCACCACTGGCCTCAATCCTCTACAAAATACCCCTTCACAAAATATAAAAAAAAAAATGTTTCCAAACTACTTAATGAAAAGAGAGGTTTAACTCTGTGAGATGAATGCACACATCACGAAGCTCTTTCTCAGAAAGCTTCTTTCTAGTTTTTAACTGAAGATATTTCCTTTTTCAAGATAGGCTTCAATATGCTCCCAAATATCCCTTTGCAAATTCTACAAAAAGATTGTTTCCCAACTACTCAATCAAAATAAAGGTTTAACTCTGTGAGATTAATGCACACATCACAAAGCAGTTTCTCAGATAGCTTCCTTCAATTTTTTTCTTAAGGTATGTCCTTTTTCACCATTGCCTCAATGTGCCCCCAAATATCCCTTCACAGATTCTACAAAAATTGTGTTTCCAAACTGCTTAATCAAAAAAATGGTTTAACTCTGTGAGATGAATGCACAACATCACAAAGCAGTTTCTCAGAAAGCTGCTTTCTAGTTTTTCTCTGAAGATATTTCCTTTTTCACCATAGGCTCAATGTTCTCCCAATTATCCCTTCACAGATTCTACAAAAACACTGTTTCCAAACTCTTCCATCAAAGGAAAGGTTTAACTCTGTGAGTTGCATGTGCACATCAAAAATCAGTTTCTCAGAAAGCATCCTTCTTGTTTTTCTCTGATTATATTTCCTTTTTCACTGTAGGCCACAATGTGCTCCAAATATCCCTCTGCAGATTCTCCAAAAACAGGGTTTGCAAACTGCTCAACAGAAAGAAATATTTAATAATGTGAGATGAATGCACACATCACAAAGTAGTTTCCTAGAAAGGTTCTTTCTAGTTTTCCTCTGACTATATTTATTTTTTCACCATAGATCTAAATGCTCTCCAAAATATCCCTTCATAATTCTACAAGAACAGTGCTTCCAAACTGCTCCATCAAAAGAAATGTATAACTCTGTGAGATGAATGCACAAATCACAAAGCAGTTTCTCAGAAATCTTCTTCGTAGTTCTTATCTGAAGATGATTCCTGTTTCACCATAAGCCTCAATGCACTCCCAAATATCCCTTCACAGATTCTACAAAAACAGTATTTCCAAACTACTGCATGAAAAGAAAGTTTTAACTCTGTGAGATGAATGCACACATCACAAAGCCATTTGTCAGAGAGCTTCTCTCAAGTTTTTATCCTGGAATATTCTCTTTTTCACCATTGTCTTAAATGAGATCCTGAATGTTCATTGACAGTAGGACAAATAGAGGGTTTCCAAACTGATACATAAAAAGAAAGATTTAAAACTGTGAGATGAATGCACAAGTCACAAAGCAGTTTCTCAGAAAGATTTTTTTCTAGTTTTTAGCTGAAGATGTTTCCTTTTTCACCATAGGCCTCAATGAGTTCCCAAATATCCCTTCACAGATACTACAACAACACTGTTCCCAAACTGCTGACTGAAAGGAAAGGTTTAATGACGAGTGATGAATGCCCACATCAGAAAGTGTTTTCTCAGAGAGCTTCCTTCTAGTTTATATCCTGGTATATTCATTTTTTCATCTTTGGCCTCAATGAGCTCTCAAATGTCCATTCTCAGAATGGACAAAAACGTTGTTTCCAAACTGCTGAATCCAAAGAAATGTTTAACTCTTTAATACACACTTCAAAAAGCAGTTTCTCTGAAACCTTCTTTCTAGTTTTATCTGAAGATGTTTCCTTTTTCATCATAGGCCTAAATGTGTTGCCAAATATCCCTTTGCAGAATGTACAAAAACAGTGTTTCCAAAGTGCTGAATCCAAAGAAAGGTTTAAAACTGTGAGATGAATGTGCATGTCACAAAGTAGTTTCTCTGAGGGCTTCTTTCTTGTTTTTATCTGAGGATGCCTCTTTTTCACCATAGGATTCAATGCACTGCCAGATATCCCTTTGCTGATTCCACAAAAAGGTGTTTCCAAACTGCTGAATAAAAATGTTTTAACTCTGAGTATTGAATGCACACACCACAAAGCAGTGACTCAGGTACCTTCCTTCTATTTTTTATCCTGGGATATTCACACTTTTGCCATTGGTCTCAATGAACTCCCAAATGTACTTTCACACAATGGAGAAAAACAGTGTTTTCGAACTGCTGAATCCAATGAAAAGTTTAACTTTTGAGATGAATGTACACATCACAAAGCAGTTTCTGAGAAAGCTTCTTTCTAGTTTTTATCCTGGGATATTCACATTTTTGGCTTTGGCCTCAATGAACCCCCAAAGTCCATTTCACAAAATGGACAAAAAAACAGTGTTTCCAAACTGCTGAACCCAAAGAATGGTTTAATTCTATGAGCTGATTGTGCACAACACAAATCAGTTTCTCAGAAAGCTTCCTTCTTGTTTTTATCTAAAGAAGATTCCTTTTTCAGCATAGGACTCAATGCACTCCCAAATATCTCTTCACAGAATCTACCTAAACAATGATTCAAAACTGCTGATGAAAAGAATAGGATAACTCTGCAATATGAAGGCACATATCCCAAAGCAGTTTCTCATAGAGCTTCCTTCTAGTTTTTATCCTGGTGTATTCACTTTTATGGCATTGGCATCAATGAATTCCCAAAAGTCCATTCGTTGAATGGGCAAACAGTGTTTACAAACTGCTGAATCCAAAGAAATGTTTTACTCTATAAGATGAATGCAAAAATCACAAAGCAGTTTCTCAGAAATCTTCTTTCTAGTTTTTATCAGAAGATGTTTCCTTTTTCACCATAAGCGTCAAAGTGCTCGCAAATATCCATTTGCAGATTGTACAAAACAGTGTTTCCAAACTGCTGAATAAAAAGAAATGTTTAACTCTGCGAGGTGAATGGAGACATCACAGACTGGTTTCTCAGAGAGCTTCCTTCTAGTTTTTACCCTGGGATATTCACTTTTTCAACATTGGCCTCAATGAGCTCTCAAATATCCATTCACAGAATGGACAAAAACAGTGTTTCCAAATTGCTGAATCCTAAGAAAGGATTAACTCTGTGAGATGAGTGCACACATCACAAAGCAGTTTCTCAGAAAGCTTCTTTCCAGTTTTATATGGAGAAATTTCCTTTTTCACCATAAGTCTCAAAGTGCTCCCAAATATCCCTTCACAGATTCTACAAAAACAGTGTTTCCAAAGTGCTGAATGGAAAGAAAGGTTTAACTCTGTGAGGTGAATGCACACATCGCAATGAGGTTTCTCAAATAGCATCCTTCTAGTTTTAACCTGGTGTATTTGCCTTTTTGTTATTGGCCTCAATGAGAGCTCTAATTTCTATTTGCAGAATGGTCAAAAAGAGTGTTTCCTAACTGCTGAATCCACAGAAAGGTTTAACACTGTGAGAAGAATGCACACATAACAAAGCAGGTTTTCAGATAGCTTCTATCTTGTTTTTATCTGAAGATATTTTCTTTTTCACCATAGGCCTCAATGCACTCCCAAATATCCCTTGGCAGATGCTGCAATTACAGTGTTTCCAAACTGATGAAAGAAAAGACAGTTTTAAATCTGTGAGATGAATACACACATCAGAATGCTGTTTATCAAATAGCTTCCTTCTAGTTTTTATCCTGGGATATTGCTTTATCGCCTTTGGCCGCATTGAGCTCCCCAATGTGCATTTGCAGAATGCACAAAAACTGTGTTACCAAACTGCTGAATGAAAAGAAAGGTTTAATTGTGCGAGATTAATGCACACATCACAAAGCACTTTCGCAGATACATTCTTTCTATTTGTTATCCTGGGATACTTGCTCTATCACCATTGACCTCAACGAGCTCAAAAATATCCATTCACAAAATAGACGAAAAGTGTTTCCAAACTGCAGAAATAAAGGAAAGTTTTAATTCTGTGAGATGAAAGCACACATCCTAAACCAGTTTCTCAGAGAGCTTCTTCCTAGTTTCTCCCTGAAGATGTTTCTTTTTCAACATAGCTCGCTATGTGCTGCCAAATATACCTTCTCAGATTCAACAAAAGCAGTGTTTCCACACTGCTGAGTGCAAAGAAAGGTTTAACTCTGCGGGATGAATGCCCACAACACAAAGCAGTTTCTCAGAGAGCTTCCTTCTAGTTTTTATCCTGGGATATTCACTTTTTCACCATTGGTCTCAAGGAGCTCTCAAATGTGCATTTGCAGAATGCACAAAAACAGTGTTTCCAAACTGCCGAATCTGAAGTACAGTTTAACTCACAGATGAATGTGCACGTCACAAATCAGTTTGTCAGAAAACTTCTTTTTAATTTTTACCTGAAGATGTTTCCTTTTACAACATTGGCCTTAATGTACTCCCAAATATCCCTTCACCGATTCAAGAAATCAGTGGATCCAAACTGCTGAATGAAAAGAAAGGTTTAACTTTGCTGGACTAATGCGCACATCACAAAGCAGTTTCTCAGGTAGTTTCCTTCTAGTCTTTATCCTGGGATATTTGCTTTTTTGCCATTCACCTCAATGTGCTCACAAATGTCCATTCACAGAATAGACGAAAAGAGTGTTTCCAAACTGCTGAATTAATAAAAGGTTTAACTCTGTGAGATGAACACACATCACAAAGCAGTTTCTGAAAGAGCATCTTTCTAGTTTCTCTCTGAAGATGTTTTTCAACATAGGCCTCTATGCACTCCCAAATATCCCTTCACAGATTTTCCAAAAAAAGTGTTTCCAAACAGCTAAATGAAAAGAAAAGTTTAACTCTGTGACGTGAATGCACACATCACAAAGTGGTTTCTCAGATAGCTTCCTTGTAGTTTTTATCCTGTGATATTCACTTTTTCACCATTGGCCTCAAAGAGCTCAAAAATGTCCATTCACAGAATGGACAAAAACAATGTTTCCAAAGTACTGAATCAAAAACAACATTTAACTCTGTGAGATGAATGCACACATCACAAAGCAGTTTCTCAAAAAGCTTCTTTCTAATTTTTATATGAAGATGTTTCCTTTTTCACCATAGGTGTCTATGCACAAACAAATATTCCTTTGCAGATTCTACAAAAACAGGTGTTTCCAAACTGCTGAATGAAAAGAAAGGATTAAATCTGCAAAATGAATGCACGCATCAAAAAGTGGCTTCTCAGACAGCTTCCTTCTAGTTTTTATCCTGTGTTATTAGCTTTTTCGCCATTGACCTCAATGAGCTCCCAAAGGTCCACTTGCAGAATGGGCAAAGACAGGTTTCCAAACTACTGAATCCAAAGAAAGGTTTAACCCTGTGTAATGAATGCACACATCACAAACAGTTTCTCAGAAGTCTTCTGTTTAGTTTTTATCTGAAGACAATTCCTTTTCCACAATAGGCCTCAATGCACTCCCAAATATCCTTTCGCAGATTCTACAAAAACAGTGTTTCCAAACTCCTGAATGAAAAGACATTTTTACCTCTGTGAGATGAATGCAGACATGAACAAAGCAGTTTATCAGATAGCTTCCTGCTAGTTTTTATCCTGGAATATTAGATTTTTGCTATAGGCCTCAATGATCTCCGAAACGTCCATTTGCAGGATGGAAAAAAACGAGTGTTTCCAAACTGCTGAATACACAGAAACTTTTATCTCTGTGAGATGAATTCACACATCACAAAACAGTTTCTCAAAAAGCTTCTTTCTACTTTTTATCTGAAGATGTTTCCCTTTTCACCCTAGGCCTAAAGGTGCTCCAAAATATCCCTTCATAAAACCGACCAAGACAGTGTTTCCAAACTGCTGAATGAAAAGGAAAGTTTAACTCTGTGATGTTAATGTCCAGTTCACAAAGTGGTCTCTCAGAGAGCTTCCTTCTACTTTTCCTGGGACATTTACTTTTTCACCATTGGCATCAATGAGATCCCAAATGTCCATTCACAGAATGGACAAAAACAGTTTCCAAACTGATGAATGAAAAAGAAAGTTTTAACTATTTGAGATGAATGTCCACACATCAAAGCAGTTTCTCAAAATGCTTCTTTCTTGTTCTTATATGAAGATGTTTCCTTTTTGACCAACAGCCTCAATGCACTCAAAAATATCCTTTCACAGATTGTACAAAAACAGTATTTCCAAACAGCTGAATGAAAAAAAAAAGGAAAAAATCTGTGAGATGAATGCACACATCACAAAGCAGTTTCTCAGATAGCTTCATTCTAGTTTCTTTCCTGGGTTATTCACATTTTTGCATCAAATTCTAACATCACAAATCAAAGAATTAGAGAAGGAAGAGCAAACACATTCAAAAGCTAGCAAAAGGCAAGAAATAACTAAGATCAGAGCAGAATTAAAGGAAACAGAGACACAAAAACCCTTCAAAATATCAATGAATCCAGGAGCTGGTTTTTTGAAAACAGCAACAAAATTGATAGACCACTAGCAAGACTAATAAAGAAGAAAAGAGAGAAGAATCAAATAGATGAAATAAGAAATGATAAAGGGGATATCACCACCGATCCCACAGAAATACAAACTTCCATCAGAGAATATTATAAACACCTCTGTGCAAATAAACTAGAAAATCTAGAAGAAATGGATAAATTCCTCAACACATACACCCTCCCAAGACTAAACAAGAAAGAAGTTGAATCTCTGAATACACCAATAACAGGCTCTGAAATTGAGGCAATAATTAATAGCTCACCAACCAAAAAAAGTCCAGGACCAGACAGATTCACAGCCGAATTCTACCAGAGGTACAAGGAAGAGCTGATACCATTCATTCTGAAACTATTCCAATCAATAGAAAAAGAGGGAATCCTCCCTAACTCATTTTATGAGGCCAACATCATCCTGATATCAAAGCCTGGCAGAGACACAACAAAAAAAGGGAATTTAGGCCAATATCCTTGATGAACATTGATGCAAAAATCCTCAATAAAATACTGGCAAAACGAATCCAGCAACACATCAAAAAGCTTATCCAGCATGATCAAGTGGGCTTCATCCCTGGGATGCAAGGCTGGCTCAACATATGGAAATCATGAAAGGTAATCCAGCATATAAACAGAACCAAACACAAAAAACACATGATTATCTCAATAGATGCAGAAAAGGCCTTTGACCAAATTCAACAAACTTTCATGTTAAAAACTCCCAAAAAATCAGGTATTGATGGGACGTATCTCAAAATAACAAGAGCTGTCTATGACAAGCCCACAGCCAATATCATACTGAATGGACAACAACTAGAAGCATTCCCTTTGAAAACTGGGACAAGACAGGGATGCCCTCTCTCACCACTCCTATTCAACATAGTGTTGGAAGTTCTGGCCAGGGCGATCAGGCAGGAGAAAGGAATAAAATGCATTCAATTAGGAAAAGAGGAAGTCAAATTGTCCCTGTTTGCAGATGACATGATTGTATATCTAGAAAACCCCATCGTCTCAGCCCAAAATCTCCTTAAGCTGATAAGCAACTTCAGCAAAGTCGCAGGATACAAAATCAATGTGCAAAAATGACAAGCATTCTTATACACAAATAAACACAGACAGACAGCCATATTATGAGTGAACACCTATTTACAATTGCTTCAAAGAGAATAAAATACCTAGGAATCCAACTTACAAGGGACATGAAGGACCTCTTCAAGGAGAACTATAAACCACTGCTCAATGAAGTAAAAGAGGATACAAACAAATGGAAGAACATTCCATGCTCATGGTTAGGAAGAAACAATATAGTGAAAATGGCCATATTGCCAAAGGTAATTTACAGATTCAATGCCATCCCCATCAAGCTACCACTTGGAAAAAACTACTTTAAAGTTCATATGGAACCAAAAAAGAGCCCACAAAGACAAGTCAATCCTAAGCCAAAAGAACAAAGCTGGAGGAATCACGCTACCTGACTTCAAACTGTACTACAGGGCAACAGTAACCAAAACAGCATGGTGCTGACACCAAAACAGAGATATAGACCAATGGAACAAAACAGAACCCTCAGAAATAATGCTGCATATATACAACCATCTGATCTTTGACAAACCTGAGAAAAACAAGCAATGGGGAAAGGATTCCCTATTTAATAAATGGTGCTGGGAAAACTGGCTAGCCATATGTAGAAAGCTGAAACTGGATCCCTTCCTTACACCTTACACAAAAATTAATTCAAGATGCATTAAAGACTTACATGTTATTCCTAAAACCATAAAAACCCTAGAATAAAACCTAGGCAATACCATTCAGGACATAGGCATGGGCATGGACTTCATGTCTAGAATACCAAAAGCAATGGCAACAAAAGCCAAAATTGACAAATGGGATTTAATTAAACTAAAGAGCTTCTGCACTGAAAAAGAAACCACCATTAGAGTGAACAGGCAACCTTACAGAACCAGAGAAAATTTTCGCAACCTACTCATCTGACAAAGGGCTAACATCAAGAATCTATAATTAGCTCAAACAAACTTACAAGAAAAAAACAAACAACCCCATCAAAAAGTGGGCAAATGATATGAACAGGCACTTCTCAAAAGAAGACATTTATGCAGCCAAAAAACACATGAAAAAATGCTAATCATCACTGGCCATCAGAGAAATGCAAATCAAAACCACAATGAGATACCATCTCACAGCAGTTAAAATGATGATCACTAAAAAGTCAGGAAGCAACAGGTGCTGGAGAGGATGTGGAGAAATAGGAATACTTTCACACTGTTGATGGGACTGTAAACTAGTTCAACCATTGTGGAAGTCAGTGTAGGGATTCCTCAGGGATCTAGAACTAGAAATACTATTTGACCCATCCATCCCATTACTGGGTATATACCCAAAGGACTATAAATCATGCTGCTATAAAGACACATGCACACGTATGTTTATTGTGGCACCATTCGCAATAGCAAAGACTTGGAACCAACCCAAATGTCCAACAATGATAGACTGGATTAAGAAAATGTGACACATATACACCATGGAATATGATGCAGCCATAAAAAATGATGAGTTCACATCCTTTGTAGGGACATGGATGAAGCTGGAAACCATCATTCTCAGCAAACTAACACAAGAACAAAAAAACAAACACTGCATGTTCTCACTCAAAGGGAGGAATTGAACAATGAGAGCACATGGACACAGAAAGTGGAACATCACACACCAGGGCCTCTTGTGGGGTAGGGGGAGTGGAGAGGGATAGCTTTAGGAGATATACCTAATGCTAAATGACCAGTTAATGGGTGCAGCACACCAACATAGAACACGTATATGTATGTAACAAACCTGCATGTTGTGGACAGGTACCTTAAAACTTAAAGTATAATAATAAAAAAGAGAAAGGTTTAACTGTGGGAGATGTATGCACACATGACAAAGCAATCCTCACAAAGCATCTTTCAACTTTCTATCTGAAGATATATCCTTTTTGATAATAGGCCTCAATGTGCTCCCAAATATCCCTTTGCTGATTCTACAAAACCAGTGTTTCCAAACTGCTCAATCATACTAAAGTTTTAACACTGTTAGATGAATGTACACATCACAAAGCATTTTATTAGAAAGCTTCTGTCAAGTTTTTCTCTGTAGATTTTTCCTTTTCACCATAGGCCCCAATGTGCTCACAAATAACCCTTCACAGATTCTACAAAAACCCTGTTTCCTAACAGCTCCATCAACAGAAAGGTTTATCTGTGTGCGATGAATGCACACATCACAAAGTCGTGTCTCAGAAAGCTTCTTTTAACTTTTAAAATGAAGATATTTCCTTTTTCACCGTAGGCCACAATATGCTCCCAATTATCCCTTCGCAGATTCTACGAAAACAGTGTTTCCAAATTGCTCCATCAAAAGATGTTTAAATCTGTGAGATTAATGCACTCATCAGAAAGCATTTTTTCTGAAAGTTTCTTTGTAGTTTTTCTCTGAAGATATTTACTTTTTCAAAATCAGCATCGTTGCACTCCAAAATATCCCTCCAGAAATTCCTCAAAAACAGTGTTTCCTAACTGCTCAATCAAAAGAAAGGTTTGAGTCCGTGAGAAGAATGCACTCATCACAAAGCAGATTCTCACAATGCTTCTTCCCGTTTTACCCTCTAGATATTTCCTTTTTCACCACAGGCCTCTATGCCCTTCAAAATATCCCTTGGCCGATCCTACAAAAAAGGTGTTTCCAAACTACTCCATCAAAGAAAGGTTTATCACTGTGAGATGAATGCACACATCACAAAGCAGTTTCTGAAAAGCTTCTTTCTAGTGTTTAGCTGAAGATATTTCTTTTTTCACCATAGACCTCAATGCGCTCCCAAATATGACTTTGCAGAGAGTACAGAAAGAGTGTTTCCAAAGAGCTCCATCAAAAGAAAGGTTTAACTCTGCGAGATGAGTGCACACATCACAAAGCAGTTTCTGAAAAGCTTCTTTCTAGTTTTTAGCTGAAGATATTTCTTTTTTCACTGTAGACATCAATGCGCTCCCAAATATGACTTTGCAGAGAGTACAGAAAGAGTGTTTCCAAAGAGCTCCATCAAAAGAAAGGTTTAACTCTGCGAGATGAGTGCACTTATCACAAAGCAGTTTCTCAGCAAGTTTCTTTCTAGTTTTTAATCTGAAGATGTTTCCTTTTTCAAAATGGTCCCCAATGTGCTCCCAAATATCCCTTTGCAGATTCTACAAAAGCACAGTTTCCAACATGTAGAATGAAAAGAAAGGTTTAAGTCTGTGGGATGAATGCACACATCACAAAGCAATTCCTCAAAAATCTTTCTAGTTTTTACCTGAAGATATACCCTTTTTGACAATAGGCCTCAATGTGCTCCCAAATATCCCTTTGCTGATTCTACAAAAACAGTGTTTACAAACTGCTCAATAAAACTAAAGATTTAACTCTGTGAGATGAATGCACACATCACAAAGCAGTTCTTCAGAAAGCTTCTTTCTAGTTTTTCTCGGTAGATATTTTCTTTTCACAATAGGCCTCAATGCACTCCCCAGTAACACTTTGCAGATTCTACAAAAGCAGGGTTTCCAAACAGTTCCGTCAAAAGTAAGTTTATCTCTGTGAGATGAATGCACACTTCACAAAGCCATTTCTGAAAGCTTCTTTTTAGTTTTTATCTAAAGATATTTCCCTTTTGAACATAGGCCACAATACCCTCCCAGATATCCCTTCACAGATTCCACAAAAACACTGTTTCCAAACTGCACAATCAAAAGAAAAGTTTAACTCTGAGAAGAATGCTCACATCACAAAGCAGTTTCTCAGAAAGATTCTTTCTAGTTTTTATCTGAGGATATTTCCTTTTTTGCCATAGGCTTCAATGCAATCCCGAATATGCCTTTGCAGTTTCCACAGAAACAGTGTTTTCTAGCTTCTCCATCAAAACAAAGGCTTAACTCTGTGAGGTGAATGCACACATAACAAATTAGTTCCTCAGAAATCTTCTTTCTAGTTTTACTGTGAAGATATTTCCTTTTTCAAAAAAGGCCTCAATATGCTCACAAATATCCCCTCACAGATTCTATGAAAAACAGTGTTTCCAGTGATGGTGAGCATTTTTTCATGTGTTTTTTGGTTGCATAAATGTCTTCTTTTGAGAAGTGTCTGTTCATGTCCTTCACCCACTTTTTGATGGGGTTCTTTGTTTTTTGCTTGTAAATTTGTTTGAGTTCATTGTAGATTCTGGATATTAGCCCTTTGTCAGATGAGTAGGTTGTGAAAATTTTCTCCCATTTTGTAGGTTGCCTGTTCACTCTGATGGTAGTTTCTTTTGCTGTGCAGAAGCTCTTCAGTTTAATTAGATCCCATTTGTCAATTTTGGCTTTTGTTGCCATTGCTTTTGGTGTTTTAGACATGAAGTCTTTGCCCATGCCTATGTCCTGAATGGTAATGCCTAGGTTTTCTTCTAGGGTTTTTATGGTTTTAGGTCTAACACTTAAGTCTTTAATCCATCGTGAATTAATTTTTGTATAAGGTGTAAGGAAGGGATCCAGTTTCAGCTTTCTACATATGGCTAGCCAGTTTTCCCAGCACCATTTATTAAATAAGGAATCCTTTCCCCATTGCTTGTTTTTCTCAGGTTTGTCAAAGATCAGATAGTTTTCTATATGCAGCATTATTTCTGAGGGCTCTGTTCTGTTCCATTGATCTATGCTCACCATCACTGGCTATCAGAGAAAAGCAAATCAAAACCACAATGAGATACCATCTCACATCAGTTAGAATGGCAATCATTAAAAAGTCAGGAAACAACAGGTGCTGGAGAGGATGTGGAGAAATACAAACACTTTTACACTGTTAGTGGGACTGTAAACTAGTTCAACTATTGTGGAAGTCAGTGTGGGATTCCTCAGGGATCTAGAACCAGAAATACCATTTGACCCAGCCATCCCATTACTGGGTATGTACCCAAAGGATTATAAATAATGCTGCCATAAAGACACATGCACACATATGTTTATTGCGGCACTATTCACAATAGCAAAGACTTGGAACCAACCCAAATGTCCAACAGCGATAGACTGGATTAAGAAAATGTGGCACATATACACCATGGAATAATATGCAGCCATAAAAAATGATGAGTTCATGTCCTTTGTAGGGACATGGATGAAACTGGAAATCATCATTCTCAGTAAACTATTGCAAGAACGAAAAACCAAATGCCACATATTCTCACTCATAGATGGGAATTGAACAATGAGAACACATGGACACAGGAAGGGAAACATCACACTCTGGGGACTGTTGTGGGGTGGGGGTAGGGGGTAGGGATAGCTTTAGGAGATGAACCTAATGCTTAATGACGAGTTAATGGGTGCAGCACACCAGCGTGGCACATATATACATATGTAACTAACCTCCACATTGTTCACATGTACCCTAAAACTTAAAGTATAATAATAATAAAATAAAATAAAATAAAGAAAAACAGTGTTTCCAAACTGCTCCATCATAAGAAAGTTATACTATGTGAGATAAATGCATACGTCCCAAAGCAGTTTCTCAGAAAAGTTATTTCTATTTTTTCTCTCAAGATATTTCCTCTTTCACAATAGACCTCAATTCACTCCCAAATATGCTTTAGCAGATTCTACAAAATAGTGTTTCCAAACTGCACCATCAAAAGAAAAGTTTATCTTTGTGAGATGAATGCCCACATCACAAATCAGTTTCTCAGAAAACTTCTTTCTAATGTTATTCTGATGATATTTCCTTTCTCACCATAGTCCTCAAGGCACTCCCAAATATGACTTTGCAGATCGTATAAAAACAGTGTTTCCAATCTGCTCAATCAAAAGAAAGGTTTGAGTCTGTGAGATGAATGGACCCATTATAAAGCAGTAGCTCAGAATGTTTCTTTCTCGTTTTTCTCTGAAGATGTTTCCTTTTTCATCGTAGGCCTCAATGCGCTCCAAAATATCCCTTCACAAATTCTACAAAAACGGTGTTTCCAAACAGCTCCATCAATAGAAAAATTTAACCCTGTGAAATGAATGCACGTATAAAAAAGCAGTCTCTCAGAAGGTTTCTATGGTGTTTTTATCTAAAGATACTTCCTTTCTCACCATTGGCTTCAATGTGCTCCCAAATATCCCTTTGCAGATTATTCAAAAACAGTGTTTCCAAATTGCTCCATCAAGAGAAAGGTTTAACTCTGTGAGATGAATCCACACAACTGAAAGCAGTTTCTCACAAAGCTTCTTTCTAGTTTTTCTCTGAAGATATTTCCTTTTTCACCATAGGAGTCAAAGTGCTCTGAAATATCCCTTCATAGACTCTACAAAAACATTGTTTCCAAACTGCTCCACAGAAAGAAAGGTTTAATTCTGTGAGGGGGATGAACACATCACAAAGCAGTTTCTCCAAAAGATTCTTTATAGCTTGTTTGTGAAGATAATTCCTTTTACAACATAGGCCTCCAAGCGCTCCCAAATATCCCTTTGCAAATAATACAAAAACAGTGTTTCCAAACTGCTCATGCAAAAGAAAGGTTTACATCTGTGAGATGAATGCACACATCACAAATCAGTTTATCTAAATATTTCTTTGTAGCTTTTCTCTTAAGATTGTTCCTTTTTAACCATAGGTCTCATGGTGCTCCGAAATACCCCTTCGCAGATTGTAGAAAAAATGTTTCCAAACCACTCCATCAAAAGAAAGGTTTAACTGTGTGAGATGAATGCATACATCACAAAGCAGTCACTCAGAAAGCTTCTTTATAGTTTTTCTCTAAAGATATATCCATTTTCACTGTAGGTCTCAATGCGCTTCCAAATATCCCTCCGCAGATTCTACAGAAACCGTGTCTCCAAACTGCTCCATCAAAAGAAATGTTTAACTCTGTGAGCCGACTGCACTCAATACAAAGCAATTTCTTAGAAAGCTTCTTTCTATTTCTTCTCTGATGTTATTTCCTTATTCACCATAGGCCTCAATGTGCTCCCAAATATCCTTTGGCAGATTCTATGAAAACAGTGTTTTCAAACAACTCCATCAAGAGATAAGTTTAACTCTGTGAGATGAATGCATACATCACAAAGCAGTTTCTCAGAAAGCATCTTTCTATTTTTTCTCTGAAGGTGTTTCCTATTTCACAATAGCCCTCAATGTACTCCCAATTATCCCTTTCCAGATTCTACAAAAACTGTGTTTCCAAAGTGTTCCACAAAAAGAAAGATTTAACTCCATGAGATGAATGCACTCATCACAAAGAATTTTTTCAGAAAGCTTCTTAGTTTCTCTCTGAGGTTATTTCCTTTTTCAGCATATTCCTCAATGCACTCCCAAGTATCCCTTTGCAGATTCTACAAAAACAGTGTTTCCAAACTGCTCTATCAAAAGAAAGGTTTAACTCAGGGAGATGAATGCACGCTTCTCAAAGCAGTTTCTCAGAAAGTTTCTTTCAATTTTTTCTCTAAATATATTTTCTTTTTCACTATAGGCCTACATGCACTCCCAAATATCCCTTCACAGATTGTACAAAAAGAGTGTTTCCAAACAGTGCAATGAAAAGAAAGGTTTATCTATGTGAGATGAAAGCACACATCACAAAGCAGTTTCTCAGAAACTTTTTCTCTTGTTTTTATCAGAAGGTATTTCCTTTTTCACCGTAGGCCTCAATGTGCTCCCAAATATCCACCCACAGATACTCCAAAAAGAGTGTCTCCAAACTACTACACCAAAAGAATCATTTAACTCTGTGAGTTGACTGCACACATCACAAAGCAGTTTCTCAGAAAGCTTCTTTCTAGTTCTCTGAAGATATTTCCTTTTTCACCATAGACATCAACGTGTTCCCAAATATGCCTTTGCAGATTCTACAAAAAATGTGTTTCCAAACTGCTTCATAAAAGAAAGTTATGTCTGTGTGAGATGAATGCACACATCACAAAGCATTTTCTCAGAGATCTTCTTTGTATCTTTTATGTGAAGATATTTCCTTTTTCAGCATAAGCCCCAATATGCTCTCAAATATCCCTTCATAGATTCTACAAAAACAGTGTTTTCAAAACTGCTGAACAAAAAGAAACTGTATGTCTGTGAGATGAGTGCACCCACCACAAAGCAGTTTCTCAGAAAACTTCTTTCCACTTTTCCTCTGAAGATATTTCCTTTTTCACAATAGGACTTAATGTGCTCCAAAATATCCCTTGGCAGATTCTAGAAATACAGTGTTTGCATTCTGCTGAATGAAAAGAGAAATCTAACTATACAAGATGAAGGTACATTTCAAAAAGCAATTTCTCAGATAGCTACCTTATAGTTTTTATCCTGGAATATATGATTTATCCCCATTGGCCTCAATGAGCTCCATAATTTCCATTCACAGAATGAACTAAAAGAATGTTTTCAAAGGAAAGTTTTAACTTTGTGAGATGAATGCATGCATCACAAAGCAAATTATCAGAGAGCTTCTTTCTTGTTTTTGTCTGAAGATGTTTCAACTATCTGCCTCAATGCACTCCCAAATACCTCTTTGCAGATTCTACAAAAACAGATTTTCAAACTGTTGAATGAAAAGAACTGTTTAAATCTCTGAGACGAATGCACACATCACAAAGCGATTTCTCAGATAGTTTCCTTCTAGCTTTTATCCTGGGATACTCCCTTTTTCTTCATTGGCCTCAATGAGTTCCCAAATCTCCATTTGCAGAATGGACAAAAACAGTGTTTCCAAACCATTGTATCCAAAGAAAGGTTTAATTCTGTGTGATGAATCTTCACAAAACAAAGCAGTTTCTTATAAATCTTCTTTCTAGTTTTATCTGAAGCTTTTTCCTTTTTCACAATAGGTCTCAATGCACTCCAAAGTATCCCTTTGCAGATTCTACAAAAACTTTGTTTCCAAACTGCCAAATGGAAAGAAAGATTTATCTCTGTGAGATGAATGCACTTATCACAAAGTGGTTTCTCAGCTAGCTTCCTTCTAGTTTTTATCTTGGGATATTCATTTTTTCACCATTGGCCTCAATGAGCTCCCAAATGTCCACTCACACAACGGACAAAAACAGTGTTTCCAAACTGCGGAAACCAAAGAAAGTTTCATCTCTGTGAGATGAATGCACACATCACAAAGCAGTTTCTCAGAGCGCTTCTTTCTAGTTTTTATCTTAAGATATTTCCTTTTTCACCATATGCTTCAAAGCACTCCCAAATATCCCTTTGCAGATTCTACAAAAACAGTCTTTCTAATCTGCTGAAGGAAAAGTGAGGTTTAATGCTGCAAGATGAGTGCATACATAACAAAGCTGTTTCTCAGTGGGCTCCCTTCTATTTATTATCCTGGGATATTTGTTTTTCACCATTGGCCTCAATGTTCTCCAAAATGTCCATTTGCAGAATGGACAAAAACAGTGTTTCCAAACTACTGAATTAAAAGAAAGGTTTAACTCTGCAAGATGAATGCACACAACAAAAGCAGTTTCTCAGATAGCTTATTTCTAGTTTTTATCCTCTGATATTTGCTTTTTCACCATTGGCCTCAAGGAGCTCACAAATGTGCATTCGCAGAATGGACAAAAGCAGTGTTTCCAAACTGCAGAATCTAAAGTATGGTTTAACTGTGAGATGAATGCACACATCACAAAGCAGTGTCTCGGAAAAGTTCTTTCTGGTTTTTCTCTGAAGATGTTTCCTTTTTCACCATAGTCCTCAATGAGCTCGCAAATATCCCTTCCCAGATTCTGCAAAAATAGTGTTTCCAAACAGCTGAATGCAAAGAGAGGTTTAACTCTGTGACATGAATGCACAAATCACAAAGCAGTCTCTCAGAAAGTTTCTTTCCAGTTTTTAACTGAAGATGTTTCCTCTATCATTGTAGGCCTCAATGCACTCCAAAATATCCCATCGCAGATTCTGAAAAAACAGTACTTCCAAACTGCTGAATGAAAAGGAATGTTTAACTCTGTGAGATGAATGCACAACAAAAAACAATTTATCAGATAGCTTCCTTCTATTTTTTATCCTGGTGTATTCCCTTTTTCACCATTGGCCTCCATGAGCTCCCATACGTCCATTTGCAGAATGCACAAAACAGTGTTTCCAAACAGCTGAATCAAAAGAAAGGTTTAACACTGTGAGATGAATGGACAACTCAGAAAGAAGTTTCACCAAAATTTTCTTTCTAATTTTTATTTGAAGATGTTTCCTTTTTCAACATGGACCTCTATGAGCTTTCAAATATCTCTTCACATATTCTACCAAAACCGTGTTTCCAAACTGTTGTGTGAAAGAAAGTGTTTAAATACGTGAGATGAATGCATACATCACAAAGTAGTTTCTCTGATAGCTTCTTTGTAGTTTTTATCCTTGTTTAATCGTTTTTTTGCCTTTGGCCTCAATGAGTTCCCAAATGTCCATTCATAGAATGGACAGAAACAGTCTTTCCAAACTGCTGAATGCAAAGAAAATTTTAATTCTGTAAGGTGAATGCACACACCACAAAGCAGTTTCTCAGAAAGCTTCTTTCTAGTTTTTATCTGAAAATTGTGCCTTTTTCACAATAGTCCTCAATGCACTCCTAAATATCCCTTCCCAGATTCTAGAAAAACAGTGTTTCCAAACTGCTGAATGAAAAGAAAGGTTTAACTCTGTGACATGAATGTACACATCACAAAGAGATTCCTTAGGTGGGTTCCTTCAAATTTTTATCCTGGGATATTCACTTTTTCACCATTGGCCTCAATGATCTCCAAAACAGTGTTTCCAAACTGCTGAATTGAAAGAAAGATTTACCTCTGTGTGATGAATGCACACATCACAAAGCAATTTCTCATAAAGCTTTTTTCTATTTGTTATCTGAAGATGTTTCCTTTTCACCGTAGGCCTCGATGCACTCCCAAATATCCCTTCACAGGTTCTATAAAAACTGTTTCCAATAGGCTGAATTAAAAGAAAGGTTTAAATCCACGAGATTAAGGCACACATCACAAAGCAGTTTCTCAGATAGCTTCCTTCTACTTTTTATCCTGGGATAGTTGCCTTTTCGCTATTGGCCTCAATGAGATTTTAAAAGTCCATTTGTAGAATGGACAAAAACAGTGTTTCCAAACTGCTGAATCCAAAGAAAGATTTGTCTCCTTGAGATGAATGCATACATCACAAAGCAGTTTCTCTGAAATCTTCTTTCTAGTTTTTGTCTGAATGTGTTTCCTTTTTCACCATATATCTCAATGCATTCTGAAATATCCCTTTGTAGATACTACAAAAACAGTGTTTCCAAACTGTTGAATGAAAAGAAATGTTTAACTCTGCAAGATGTATGGACACATCACAGAGCAGTTTCTCAGATGTCATCCTTCTATTTTTTATCCTGGGATATTTGCTTTTTGGCCATTGGCCTCAATGAGCTCACAAATGTCCATTCCTAGAATGCACAAAAACAGTGTTTCTAAACTGCTGAAAAAAGAAATTTTTAACTCTGTGAGATGAATGCACACATGACAAAGCAGTTTCTCAGACATCAACCTTAAAGTTTTTATCCCAGAATATTCTCTTTTCTGCAATTGGCCCCAATGAGTTCCCATTTGTCCATTTGCAGAATGAACAAAAACAGTGTTCCCAAATAGATGAATCCAAGAAAGTGTTAACTCAGTTAGATGAATGAACACATCTCAAAGTAGTTTCTCAGAAAGCTTCTTTCTAGTTTCGTCTGAAGATGTTTCCTTTTTCACTATAGGCCTCAACATGCTTTCACATATCCCCTTGGAGATTCCACAAGCACATTTCCAAACTGCTGAATGAAAAGAAAGGATTAACTGTGCCAGATGAATGCACACATCACAACTTGGTTTCTCAGATAGTTTCCCTCTAGTTTTTATCCTGGGATACTTGCTTTTTAACCATTCACCTCAGTGAGCTCAAAAATGTCCATTCGCTTATGGACGAAAAGAGTGTTTCCAAAATGCTGAATTAAAAGAAATGTTTAACTCTGTGAGATGAATGCACATATCACAAAGCGGTTTCTCAGAAAGCTTGTTTCTACTATTTCTCTGAATATGCTTCCCTTTTCACCATAGACCTTAATGCGCTCACAAATACCCCTTCACAGGTTCTACCAAAACAATGTTTCCAAACTTCTCATTCAAAAGAAAGGTAACTATGTGAAATGAATGCACACATCACAAAGCAGTTTCTCAGAAGGCTTCTTTCTATTTTTTATCCTGGGATATTCACTTTTTCACCATTGGCCTCAATGAGCTCCCAAATGTCCATTAGTAGAATGGAGAAAAACAGTGTTTCCAAACTGCAGAATCCAAAGTAAGGTTTAACTGTGAGATGAATGCACACATCACAAAGTAGTTTCTCAGAAAGTTTCTTTCTAGTTTTTATCTGATAATCATTCCTTTTTCACCATTGGCCTTAATACGCTCCCAAATATCCCTTCACATATTCTACAAAAACAGTGTTTCCAAACTACTGAAAGAAAATCAAACTTTAACTCTGTGATATAAATGCACATTTCACAAAGCAGTCTCTCAGATAGCTTCTTTCTAGTTTTTATCCTGGAATATTCACTTTTTCACCATTGGCCTCAATGAATTACCGAATGTCCATTTGCAAAATGGACAAAAACAGTGTTTCCAAACTGCTGAACCCAAACAAATTTTTAATTCTGTGAGATGAAATTACCAATCACAAAGCAGTTTCTCAGAAAGCTTCTTTCTAGTTTTTATCTAAAGATGTTTCCTTTTTCACCATAGGTCTCAATGTGCTACAAAATAGCTCTTTGCTCATGCTACAAAAACTGTGTTTCCAAACTGCTCAATGAAAGAAAGGATTAAAACTGTGAGATGAATGCACACATCACAAAGTGGTTTCTCAGATAGCTTCCTTGTAGTTTTTTTTCCTGGGTTATTCAATTTTTAGCCATTGGCCTCAATGAGCTCCCAAATGTCCATTCACAGAAAGGACAAAAACAGTGTTTCCTAACTGCTGAATCCAAAGAGTGTTTGAACTATGTGAGATGAATACGGACATCACAAAGCAGTTTCTCAGAAAGCTTCTTTCTAGTTTTTATCTGAGGATCATTCCTTTTTCTGATAGACCTCAATGCGCTCCCTGAAATACCTTCACTGATTCTATAAGGAAGTTTTTCCAAACTAAGGAAAGAAAAGCAAATTTTAAACCTGTGAGATGAATGCAGACATCACAAAGGGGTTTCTCAGATACTTTCCTTCTAGTTTTTATCCTGGTATATTCACTTTTTGGCCTTGGCCTCAATGAGCTCCCAAATGTCCATTCACAGGATAGACAAAAACAGGGTTTCCAAAATACCAATTCCAAAGAATTGTTTAACTCTGTGATATGAATGCATGTATCACAAAGCAGTTTCTCAGAAAGTTTCTTTCTGGTTTTCATCTGAAGATATTACCTTTTTCACCATAGGCATCAATGCGTTTCCAAACGGCCCTTCACAGATACTATAAAAAGAGTTTTTCCACTCTGCCATATGAAAAGAAAGGTTTAACTCTGTGAGATGAATGCACATATCACAAAGCAGTTTATCAGGTAGCTTCCTTCAAGTTTTTATCCTGGGATATTTGCTTTTTTGCCATTGGCCTCAATGAGCTCCCAAATATCCATTCACAGAATGGACAAAAGCAGTGTTTGCAAACTGGTGAATCCAAAGAAAGGTTTACCTCTGTGAAATGAATGCACACATCAGAAAACAGTTTCTCAGAATGCTTCTTTCTAGTTTTTATCTGAGGTTCAATCCTTTTTCACCATAGGCCTGAAATCACTCCCAAATAACCCTTTACATATTCTTCAAAAACATTGTTTCTAAACCTCTGAGTGAAAACAAAGGTTTAACTCTGTGACACATCACAAGGAAGTTTCTCAGACACCTTCCTTCTCGTTTTTATCTGGGGATATATGGTTTTTTGCCATTGACCTCAATTAGCTACCAAGTGTACCACAGAATTTACAAAAAAAGTGTTTTGAAACTGCTGAATCCAAAGCAATTTTTAACTCTGTGAGATGAAAGCACACATAATAAAGTAGTTTCTCAGAAATCTGCTTTCTGGTTTTTATCTGAAGATGTTTCCTTTTTCACCGTAGGCCTCAATGTGCTCCCAAATATCACTTTATACAATCTACAAAAACAGTGTTTCCAAACTACTCAATGAAAAGAAAGTTTTAACTCTTCGAGATGACTGAACATCACAAAGTGGTTTCTCAGATAGCTTCCTCCTAGTTTTTATCCTGGGATATTTGATTTTTTACCATTGTCCTCAAAGAGCTCCTAAATGTCCATTCACAGAATGGACAATAACAGTGTTTCCAAGATGCTGAATCCAAAGAGAGTTTTAACAGTTTGAGATGAATGCACACATCACAAAGCAGTTTCTCAGAGAGCTTCTTTCTAGTTTTTATCTGAAGATGTTTCCTTTTTCAACATAGACCTAACTGTGCTCCCAAATATCCCTTTCCAGGTTCTACCAAAACATTGTTTCCAACCTTCTCATTCAAAAGAAAGGATTAACTCTGTGAGATGAATGCACACATCACAAAGCAGTTTCTCAGAAAGCTTCTTTCTAGTTTTTCTCTGAAGATATTTCGTTTTTCACCATAGGCCTCAATGCATTTCCAAATATCCCTTCACAGTTTCTACTAAAACAGTGTTTCCAAACTGCTGAATGAAAAGAAAGGTTTAACTCTGTGAGATGAATTCACATATCACAAAACAGTTTCTCAGAAAGCTTCTTTCTACCATTTCTCTGAATACACTTCCATTTTCACAGTAGACCTCAATGCACTCCCAAATATCCCTTCACAGGTTCTACCAAAACAGTGTTTCCAAACTTCTCTATCAAAATAAAGGTAACTGTGAGATGAATCCACACATCACAAAGCAGTTTCTAAGAAGGCTTCTTTCTAGTTTTTATCCTGGGATACTCACTTTTTTGCCATTGACCTCAATGAGCTCCCAAAAGTCCATTCACAGAATGGAGAAAAACAGTGTTTCCAAAGTGCAGAATCCAAAGTATGGCTTAACTGTGAGATGAATGTGTACATCACAAAGCAATTTCTCTGAAAGATTCCTGTTTTTATCTGAAGATATTTCCCTTTTCACCATAGGCCTCAATGCACTCCCTAATATCCCTTCCCAGATTCTACAAAAACAGTGTCTCCAAACTGCTGAATGGAAAGAAAGGTTTATACCTGTGAAATGAATGCACACATCACAAAGCAGTTTCTCAGAAACCTTTCTAGTTTTTATCTGAATATGTTTCCTTTTTCACTGTAGGTCTCAATGCACTCCCAAATAGCCCTTCGCTCATTCTAAAAAAAACAGTGTTTGCAAACTGCTGAATGAAAGAAAGGATTAAATCTGGGAGATGAATGCAGACATCACAAAGTGGTTTCTCATATAGCTTCCTTCCAGTTTTTACCCTAGTATATTTGCTTTATGACTTTGGCCCCAATGAGCTCCCAAATATCCATTTGCAGAATGGACAAAAACAGGGTTTCCAAAATACTGATTCCAAAGTATTGCTGAACTCTGTGATGTGAATGCACACATCGCAAAGCAGTTTCTCAGAAAGCTTCCTTCTAGTTTTCATCAGAAGACGTTTTCTTTTTAAGCATAGGAATCAATGCACAACCAAATAGCCCTTCGCAGATTCTACAAAAACAGTGTTTCAAAATTGCTTTATGAAAAGAATGGTTTAACTATGTTAGATATTTGGGGGCACATTCAAAAAGGAAATACCTTCAGATAAAAACTAGAAAGAAGCTTTCTGAGAAACTGCTTTGTGATGTGTGCATTCATCTCACAGAGTTTAACCTTTCTTTTGAAGGAGCAATTTGGAAACACTGTATTTGTAGAATCTGCGAAGGTATATTTGAGAGCGCATTCAGTCATATGGTGAAAAGGGAAACCACTTCAGATAAAAACAGGGCAGAAGCTTTCTGAGAAACTGCTTTGTGAAGTGTGCTTTCATCTCACAGAATTAAGCATTTGTTTTGGTGGAGCAGTTTGGAAAGACTGTTTTTTTAAAATCTGCTTAGGGATATTTGGGAGCGTATTGAGGTCTATGGTGAATAAGAAAATATCTTCAGATAAAAACTGGAAAGAAGCGTTCTGAGAAACTGCTTTGTGATGTGTGCATTCGTCTCACAGAGTTAAACTTTTCTTTTGATGGAGCAGTGTGGAAAATCTGTTTTTGTATAATCTGGGAAGGGATAATTGGAAGCCCATTGAGGCCTATGGTGAAAAGGGAAATGTCTTCAGAGAAAAACTAGAAAGAAGGTTTCTAAGAAACTGCTTTGTAATAAGTGCATTCAACTCACAGAGTTAAACCTTTCTTTTGAAGGAGCAGTTTGGAAACACTGTATTTGTAGAATCTGTGAAGGCATATTTGAGAGTGCTTTCAGTCGTATGGTGAAAAAAGAAATCACTTCAGATAAAAACTAGGCAGAAGCTTTCTGAGAAACTGCTTTGTGAAGTGTTTGTAGAATTTGCATAGGGATATTTGAGAGCTTATTGAGCTCTACGGTGAATAAGTAAATATCTTCAGATAAAAATTGGAAAGAAGCTTTCTGAGAAACAGCTTTGCAATGTATACATTCATTGCATAGAGTTAAACCTTTCTATTGAAGGAGCAGTTGGAAATACTGTATTTGTAGAATCAGCGAAGGCATGTTTCGGAGCACTTTCAGGTACATGGTGAAAAGGAAAATCACTTCAGATAAAAACTAGACAGAAGCTTTCTGAGAAACTGCTTGGTGAGGTGTTTTTCATCTCACAGAATTCAACATTTCTTATGGCTGAGTAGTTTGAAAACACTTTTTATAATCTGTGAAGGTGTATTTTGGGGCCCATTGAGGCCTATACTGAAAAAGGAAATACCTTCAGGGGAAAACTAGAAAGAAGCTTTGTGCAAAACTGCTTTGTGATGTGTGCATTCATCTCACAGATTTAAACCTTTTCTTGAAGGAGCAGTTTGGAAACATTGTATTTGTGGAATGTGCGAAGGCACATTTGGGCAGGCTATCAGTCCTATGGTGAAAAAGGAAACATCTTCAGATAAAAACTAGAAAGAAGCTTTCTGAGAAACTGCTTTGTGAAGTGTGCTTTCATCTCACAGAATTAAATATTTCTTTTGGTGGAGCAGTTTGGAAACAGTCTTTTTGTAGAATCTGGGTAGGGATATTTGGGAACTCATTGAGGCCTATGGTGAATTAGGAATATCTTCAGATAAATACTGGAAAGAAGCTTTGTGAGAAGCTGCTTTGTGATGTGTGCAGTCATCTCACTGAGGTAAACTTTCGTTTTGATGGAGTAGAATGGAAACACTGTTTTTGTAGAATCTGTGAAGGGATAATTGGGAGCATATTGAGGCCTACAGTAAAAAGTGAAATATCTTCAGAGAAAAACTGGAAAGAAGCTTTCTAAGAAATTGCTTTGTGACCTGTGCATTCATCTCACACAGTTAAACATTTCTTTTGATGGAGCAATTGGTAAATACTGTTCCTGTATAATCTGTGAATGGATATTTTGGTGCACTTTGATTCCTATGGTTAAAAGGAAATTTCTTCAGAGAAAAACTAGAAAGAAACTTTCTGAGAAACTTATTTGTGATGTATGCATTCATCTCACAGAGTTAAACCTTTCCTTTGATGGAGCAGTTTGTTAACTCTGTTTTTGTATAAACTGCGAAGGGATATTTTGGAGTGCATTCAGGATTATGGTTAAAATAGAAATAACTTTAGACAAAAACTAGAAAGAAGCTTTCTGAGAAACTGCTTTGGATGTGTGCGTTCATCTCACAGAGTTAATCCTTTCGATTGAAGGAGCAGTTTGGAAAAGTTGTATTAGTAGAATCTGCAAAGGCATATTTGGGAGTGCTCTCAGATACATGGTGAAAAGGGAAATTACTTAAGATAAAAGCTAGACAGAAGCTTTCTGAGAAACCGCTTGGTGATGTTTGCTTTCATCTCACAGAATTAAACCTCTCTTTTGATGGAGTAGTTTGGAAACACTGTTTTATATAGAATCTGCAAAGGGATATTTGGGAGCACATTGAGGCCTCTTGTGAAAAACGAGATATCTTCAGAGTAAAACTAGAAAGAAGCTTCGTGAGAAACTGCTTTGTGATGTGTGCATTCATCTCACAGAGTTAAACCTTTGTTTTGATGGAGCAGTTTGTAAAAACTGTTTTTGTATAATCTGCGAAGGGATATTTTGGAGAACTTTGAGTCCTATGGTGAAAATGGAAATATCTTTAGACAAAAACTAGAATGCAACTTTCTGAGAAACTGCTTTGTGATGTGTTCATTAATCTCACAGAGTTAAACCTTTCTTTTGATGGAGTAGTTTGGAAACACTGTATTTGTAGAATCTGCAAAGGGATATTTGGGAGTGCATTTAGGCCTGTGGTGAAAAGAGAAATATCTTCAGAGGAAAACTAGAAATAAGCTTTGTGAGAAACTGCTTTGTGATGTGTGCATTCATCTCACAGACCTAAACCTTTCTACTGAAGGAGCAGTTTGGAATCACTGTATTTGTAGAATCTGTGAAGGCATATTTGAGAGTGCTTTCAGGTATACAGTGAAAAGGGAAATTGCTCCAGATACAAACTAGACAGAAACTTTCTGAGAAACTGCTTGGTGGTGTGTACTTTTGTCTGATAGAATTAACCCTTTCTTTTGGTGGAGTAGTTTGGAAACACTGCTTTTGTAGAATCTGCAAAGTGGTATTTGGGAGCGCATTGAGGACTATTATGAAAAAGGAAATATCTTCAGAGAACATCTAGAAAGAAGCTTTGTGAGAAACTGCTTTGTGATGTGTGCATTCATTTCACAGAGTTAAACCTTGCTTTTGAAGGAGCAGTTTGGAAACACTGTATTTGTAGAATCTGTGAAGACATACTTGGGAGCATTGTCAGTCATGTGGTGAAAAGGGAAATTACTTCAGATAAAAACTATACAGAAGCTTTCTGAGAAACTGCTCAGTGATGTGTGCTTTCATCTCACATAATTAAACATTTCTTTTGGTGGAGCCATTTGGAAAGATGGTAGAATCTCTGTAGGGGTATTTGGGAGCTCAGTGAGACCCATGGTGAATAAACAAATATCTTCAGATAAAAACTGGAAAGAAGCTTTCCGAGAAACTGCTTTGTGATGTGTGCATTCATGTCACAGTGCTAAACCTTTCTTTTGATGGAACCATAAGGAAATACTCTTTTTGTAGAATCCTCCCAACCACAGATGCCCTGGGCCTTGGGGATCCTGGGTTTCCCTGGCTGATGCCCACAAAGTGTATCATGCCAAAGGGGGACAGCCCAAAGTGGTAGGGAGGCTTGAATGGGGAGGTTGAGACTCCTGTGTCGTGTGAATGGAAAAAAATCAGAGCAGCATAGGTCCCCCCCATGGGCAAAAGTGCCTCCCAACTGCACATGCGCAGGTCCCAGGGCATACTGGGCATCCTTTTTTCATGTCCATGGAGCATCTCAGGGCCAAGGGTGCAGCCCAAAGCGACAGGAAGTTTTGAAAGGGGAAGTCGAGGCACTTGTGTGGCATGGAAGGAAAAACATACAGTGCAGCACAAGTTCTCCCACAGGCGAAAGTGCCACCCAACCGGGCATACAACAAGGGGCCGAGGGGATCCTGGGTATGTTTCTTTCCCTGCCATGGGTTGTCTCAGGCCCACAATGGACAGCCCAAAGTGGCAGGATGGCTTGAAAGGGATGTTGAGGCACCCGTGTGGTGAGGAAGAAAAAGAAACAGCGCAGCAGTGGCCCCCATGGGCGAAAGTGCTTCCCACCCACGTATGATTGGAGGGCTGGGGATCCTGGGCACCCCAGGTTCTCACTCAAGGAGGGCGTCTGCCCACAGGGGCCAGCCCAAGGCCACAGGAAGGCTTAAAAGGGGATGCGCAGGCTCCAGTGTTGTGAAAAGAAAACACAAATGGCGAGGCAAACGTCCCCCAACATGGGTGAAAGTGCCTCCCCACCGCTCATGCATGAGGCCTAGGGGACTCTGGGGCTTCCCTGATCCATGCCCAAGGAGTGCCTCGGGCCCACGGGCTACAGCCCAAGGCAGCAAGAAGCCTTGAAAGGGGAGGTGGAGTCACCTGTGTTGTGGAAGGAAAATGCAAATGGCGACTTAGAGGTCCCCCATCAATGGGTGAAAGAGCCTCCCCATCACACATGCATGGGTCCAGGGGCCCCTGAGGGTCCCTGGTTCACACCCATGGAGCAACTCGGACCCACAGGGACCAGCCCAAGGTGGCAGGAAGACTTGAAATAGGAGGTGGAGGCACTGTGTTGTGTAAGAAAAAAACAAATGGTGAGGAAGAGGTCCCCCACAAATGGGCAAAAGTGCATCCCCAGCATGCATGCACAAGGCGTAGGTGATCCTGGGTGTCCCTGGTTCACACCCACGGAGCGTCTCAGGACCACGTGGAGCAGCCCAAAGTGGCAGGAAGTTTTGAAAGGGGAGGTCAAGGCTCTTGTGTGGTGGGGAAATTAAAAAAAAAAAAAACCGGCATGGCTGAGGTCCCCCTCACAGGAAAAAGTGTCTCCCAACTGCACATGTGCAGGGTGCAGGGTATCCTGGACATCCCTGGTTGGCACCATCATAGAGTCTCGGGCCCACAGGGTACAGCCAAAAGGGTGCAGGTGATGCTGGGCTTCTGTGATTCATGTCCACAGAGCATCTAATGCCCACAGGGGGAAGCCCCAAGCAGCAGGAAGGTTTGAAATAGGATGTCGAGGCACCTGTGTGGTATGGAAGGATGAAAAATTGTCACTTCAGAGGTTCCCCCAAGGGCTAAAGTGACTCCAAACCACACATGCGCAGGTAACAGGGGATCCTGGGCTTCCCTGGTTTGCACCCTCAGAGCATCTCGGGCCCACAGGGGGAAACCCAAAGCGGCAGGAATTATTGAAAGGGGAGGTTGAGGCATCTGTGTGGTATGGAAGGAAAAACAAAACGGCATTGCAGAGGTCCCACAACAGGCGAAATTACCTCCCAACCACGCATGTGTGGGGACTTGGGGATTCTTGGATTCCCTGGTTCATGCCCACAAAGTATATCGGGTCAGAAGGGGCAGCCCAGTGCAGCAGAGAGGCTTGAATGGGGATGTCGAGGGACCTGTGTGGTGTGGAAGGAAAAAAAACAGGCACCACAGAGGTCCACCCATGAGCAAAAGTACCTCCCAACCGCACATGGGTGGGACCCAGGGGACACTGGGCACCCTTGTTTCATGCACACAGAGCATCTTGGGCCCACGGGGGGCAGCCCAAGCAGCAGGAAGTCTTGAAAGGGGAGGTCGAGGCACCTTTGTGGTTTGAAAGGAAAAAAACACGGCGTGGCAGAGGTTACACCCAAGGGTAAAAGTACCTCCCAACCACGCATGTGAAGGTCCCAGGGATCCAATGCCTCCTTGGTTCTTGTGCACAGAGTGTGTGGGGCCCATGGGGAGCAGCTCAAAGTGGCAGTAAGATTAAGGCTTGAAACGGGAAGTCAAGGCACTTGCTTGTTGTGGAAGGAAAACAAAATGGAGTGTCAGAGGTCCCCCCCCAAAGACAAAAGTGTCTCTGAATCGTGCATACATGGGGTGGAGGGGATCTTTGGCATCCCTGATTGATGCCCATGGAGTACCTCGTGCCCACAAGGGGCAGCCTAAAGCGGCAGAAAGGCTTGAAAGGGAAGGTTGAGGCACGAGTGTGGTGTGGAAGGACAAAAATAAGGTACCGCCGAGGTCTGCCCCACGGGCAAAAGTACCTCCCAAATGAGCATGCACACGGCCCTGGGGAACCTGCGCGTTGGTGCTTCATGCACCCAGAGCGTCTCAGGTCCACGTGGGGCTGCCCAAAGCAGCAGGAATGTTTGAAAGGGGAGTTTGAGGCACCTGTTTGTTGTGGAAGGAAAAAAATTGACGCTACATAGGTCCCCACCAAAGGTGAAAGTGCCACTTGCCCATGCACTCATGGGTCCCAGGGGATCCTGGGATGCCCTGGTTCATGCCTACAGAGAGTCTCAGGCCCCCGGGGGGCAGCCCAAAGTGGCAGGAAGACTTGAAATTGGAAGTCGACACACCTGAGTGTTGTGGAAGGATAAAAACATGTCGCGGCATAGGTCCTCCTTAAAGGCAAAAATGCCTCCTAGCCACACATGCACAGGGTGCTGGGGATCCTGGGCATCCCTATTTCACACCCACGGAGCATCCTGGGGACATGGGGTGAAGCTCAAAGTAGCAGGAAGTCTTCAAAGGTGAGGTAGAGGCACTTGTGTGGTGTGGAAGGAAAAAAAAAGGCAAAGCAGAGGTCCTCCCCACGTGTGAAATAGCCCCCAACTGTTCATGCGCGGGCCCCAGAGTATCCTGGGCTTCCCTGGTTTGCAGGCTCAGAGCATCTCGGGCTCACGTGGGGCAGCCCAAAGCTTCATGAAGGCTTGAAAGGGGAGGTCAAGACATTTGTGTGGTGTGAAAGGAAAATAAAAACCCGCCATGACAGAAGTCCTGCCACGGGAGAAAGTGCCTCCCAACTGCTCATTCCCAGTGCCCAGGGCATTCTATGTCTCCCTGCTTCGCGTTCACTGAGTGTCTCATGCCCACAGGGGGCAGATCCAAGCTGAAGTAAAGTTTGAAATGGGAATTCGAGACACCTGTGTGGTATGGAAGGAAAAAAAATGGCGTGGCAGAGTTCCCCCCCAGGGGCCAATCTCAATCGCGCATGGACGGGGCCCAGGGGATCCTGGGCTTCCCTGGTTCATGCCCAAGAGGGACAGCCCAAGGCAGCAGGAATGCTTGAAAAGGGAGTTCGAGTCCCCTTTATGTTGTGGGAGGAAAAAAAAATGGCGCAGCAGAGGTCCTCCCACGGGCGAAACTGACTCCCAGCTGCGCATGTGTAGGTCCCATGGAATCCTGGGTGTCCCTGGTTCATGCCCATGAAGCACCTCAGACCCACAGGGGCAACCCAAAGCGGCAGGAATTATTGAAAGGGGAGGTCGAGGCATCTGTGTGGTGCCAAAGGAAAAAAAAGGTGCAGCAGAGGTCCCATAACGGGAGAAAGTGCCTCCTAGCCACGCATGCATGGGGACCTGTGGATCCAGGGTTTCCCTGGTCCATGCCCACAAAGCGTATCAGGCCAAAGGGGGGCAGCCCAAGGCGGCAAGACGGCTTGAATGGAGAGGTCGAGTCACCTGTGTGGTGTGGAAGGAAAAAAAACGGCACGGCAGGGGTCCCCCCCCATGGGCAAGAGTACCCCCCAACCGCATTTGCGTGGGGCCCAGGGGATACTGAGCATCCCTGTTTTGCTCCCCCATAGTGTCTTGGGCCCACAGCAGCAGCCCACAGCGGTAGGAAGACTTGAAAGGGGTGGTCGAGGCACGTTTGTGGTTTGAAAGGAAAAAAACACGGAGCAGCAGATGTCCCCCCCAAGGGTGAAAGTGCCTCCCAATCGCACATGCGAGGGTCTCGGGGGATCCTAGGCATCCCTTGTTCTTGCGCATGGAGTATCTCATGCCCACAGGGGAAGCTCAAAGCGGTAGGAAGCCTTGAAATGGGAGGTTGAGGCACCTGTTTGTTGTGGAAGGAAAACAAAATGGCGTGGGAGAGGTCCCCCCTCCAAAGATGAAAGTACCTCTCAACTGTGCATCTGTGGGCCCCAGGGGATCCTGCACATCTCTCGTTCCCAGCCATGGAGGGTTTCAGGTCCACAGGGGACAGCCCAAAATGCCAGGAAGGCTTGAAATGGGAGGTCGATTCACCTGTGTGGTGTGGAAGGAAAAGAAAAGGCGACACAGAAGTCCCCCCAATGGACGAAAGTGCCTCCCAACCACACAGGCGTGGCACCCAGGGGATCCTTGGCATCCCTGGTTGATGCCCACTGAGGGTCTCATGCCCACGGGGGGCAGCCTAAAGCGGCAGGAAGGCTTGAAAGGGGAGGTTTAGACACCTGTGCGGTGTGAAAGGAGAAAAAAAACACGGTGCGGCAGAGATCTCCCCCAGGGGCGAAAGTGTCTCCCAAACGAGCATACACAGGGCCCAGAGGATCCTGGGCATCCCTGGTTCATGCACCAAGAGTGTCTCAGGCCCATGGGGGAGCTGCTCAAAGCAACAGGAAGGTTTGAAATGGGAGGTCGAGGCACCCGTGTGTTGTGGAAGGAAAACAAATGACGTGGCATAGGTCTCCACCACAGGTGAAAATGCTTCTCACCTGCGCATGTGCAGAGCCCAGGGCATCCTCCCGTCCCAGCTTCATGCCCACAGAATGTCACAGGCCCGTGGGGGACAGCTCAAAGAGTCAATAAGGCTTCAAATGAGCAGTCGAGGCACCTGTGTGGTATGGAAGCACAAAAACACGTCGTGGCAGAGGTTCGCCCCAAGGGCGAAAATGACTCCCAACTGCACATGCGTGGGTCCCAAGGAATCCTGGGCGTTTCTGGTTAGCGACCCAGGGCATCTTGGGCTCACAGGAGGCAACCGAAAACGGCAGGAAGGATTGAAAGGATATGTCGAGGCATCTGTGTGGTGTGGAAGGAAAAAAAAAAAACGGCGCGGCAGAGGTCCCCCATCGGGCGAAAGTGCCTCCCAACCGCACATGCGTGGGTCCCTGGGGATCCTGGGTGTCCCTGGTTCATGCCCATGGAGCGCCTCGGGCCTATGGGGGGCAGTCTAAAGAGGCAGGAAAGCTTGAAAGGGGAGGTTGAAGCACCTGTGAGGTGTGGAAGGACAAAAAAACGGTGCGACCGAGGTCCGCCCCATGGGCGAAAGTGCCTCCCAAACCAGCATGCATGGGACCCAGGGCATCCTGGGAATCCCTGCTTCATGCACCCAGAGAGTCTCGGGCCCACGGGGGTCTGCCCAAAGCAGCAGGAAGGTTTGAAAGGGGAGGTCGAGGCACCTGTGTGTTGTAGAAGGAAAAAAAATGACACAGCATAGGTCCCCATCAAAGGAGAATGTGCTTGTCATCCGCCTATGCTTAGGGCCCAGGTAGTCCTGGGCGCCCCTGGTTCGTGCCTACAGAGTGTCTCAGGCCCACAGGGGGCAGCCAAAAGTGGCAGGAAGGCTTGAAATTGGAGGTCGAGACACGTGAGTGTTGTGGAAGGAAAAAAAATGGCACAGCATAGGTCCTCACTAAAGGCAAAAATGCGACCTAACCGCACATGCATGGGGCTCTGGGGATCCTGGGCGTCCCTGTTTCACACCCAGGGAGCATCTTGCGGACATGGGGGGAGGCCCAAAGCAGCAGGAAGGCTTCAAAAGGTAGTTAGAGGCACCTGTGTGGGTGGAAGGGAAATAATAAAAGGCACAGCCGAGGTCCTCCCCACTGGCGAAATAGCCCCCAACTGCTCATGTGCGGGGCCCAGGGGCTCCTGGGCTTCTCTGGTTGGCACCCTCGGGCATCTCAGGCTCACAGTGGGCAGCCCAAAGAGGGATGAAGTCTTGAAAGGGGAGGTGGAGGCACTTGTGTGGTGTGAAAGGAAAAAGAAACGCGCAGCAGGGGAGAAAGGGCCTCCCAACCGCTGATTCGCGGGGCCCAGGGTATCCTGCATCTCCCTGCTTCATGTTCAAGGAGAGTCTCAGGCTCACACGGGGCAGATCAAAGCGGAAGTAAGGCTTGAAAGGGGAAGTCGAGTCACCTGTGTGGTATGGAAGGAATAAAAACGGTGCAGCAGAGGTCCCCCCATGGGCGAAAGTGCCTTCCAACCCGGCATGTGTGGGGCCCAGGGGATCCTGGGTTTCCCTGGTTCACGCCAACAAAGCATCTTGGGTCCAAGGGGGGCAGCCCAAAGTGGCAAGAAGGCTTGAAAGGGGAGATCGAGTCCCCTGTGTGTTGTGGGAGGAAAAAAAAAAGGGAGCCACAGATGTCCCCTCGACAGGCGAAAGTGCCCCCCAACCGCGCATTACCATGCCCAGAGCATTGTGGACATCCCTGGATCAGGCTGAAGGAGTTTCTCAGGCCCACGGGGGACAGCCCCAAGCGGCAGGAAAGCTTGAAAGGTGAGGTTGAGGCACCTGTGTGGTGTGGAAGGAAAAAAAAATGGCAAGCCATAGGTCCCCACAATGGGTGAAAGTGCTCCCAACTGCGCACGTGTGGTGACCAGGGAATCCTGGGCTTCCCTGCTTCATGCGGACAGTGTCTCAGGCCCACGGGGGGCAGGTCAAAGTGGCAGTAAGTATTCAAAGGGGAAGTCGAGGCACCTGTGTGTTATGGAAGGACAAAGAAAGTCGCAGCAGAGGTTCCCCCTACAGGCGAAAGTGACTCTGAAACACATATGCGTGGGTCTCAGGGTATCCTGGGAGCCCCTGGTTTGCACCCACGGAGCATCTCGGGCCCACAGGAGGCAACCCAAAGAGGCAGGAAGGATTGAAAAGGGAGGTCGAGGCATTGGTGTGTTGTGTAAGGAAAAAAAAAATGGCGGGGCAGAGGTCCCTCAACGGGCGAAAGTGCCTCCCAACCACACATGCGTGGGGACCTGGGGATCCTGGGCTTCCCTGGTTCATGCCCACAAATTGTATCAGGCGAAAGAGGAGCAGCCCAAAGCAGCAGGAAGGCTTGAATGCGGAGGTTGAGGCACCTGCGTGGTGTGGAAGGAAAAAAAACATGTCGGCAGAGGTCCCCAACGGGAGAATGTGCCTCCCAACCGCTCATTCGCGGGACCCAGGGGATCCTATGTGTCCCTGTTAGCATTCACAGAGTGTCTCAGGCCCACAGGGGGCAGATAAAAGCGGAAGTAATGCTTCAAAATGGTAGTCAAGGCACTTGTGTTGTATGGAAGGACAAAAAAAGTCACTGCAGAGGTCCCCCCACGGGAGAAAGTGACTCCTAACCGCAAATGCATGGGTTCTAGGGAATCCTGGGCATCACTGCTTCGTGCACACGGAGCATCTGGAGCCCACAGGGGGCAACCCAAAGCGTCAGGAAGGACTGAAAGGGGAAGTCGAGGCATCTGTGTGGTGTGGAAGGAAAAAAAAAGCGGCACGGCAGAGGTCCCCTAAAGGACGAAACTGCCTCCCAACCACGCATGCACGGGGCCCTGTAGATCCTGGGCTTCCCTGGTTCATGGCCACAAAGCATATCAGGCAAAAGGGGGGCAGCCCAAAGCGTCAGGAAGGCTTGAATGGGGAGGTCGAGGCACCTGAGTGGTGTGGAAGGAAAGAAAAACTGGCGCAGCAGAGGCCCCCCCAACAGGCAGAAGTACTTCCCAACCACGCATGCATGGATCCCCGGGGATATGAGCCATCCCTGTTTCACGCCCATGGAGCATATCGGGGCCATGGGGGCAGCCCAAAGCAGAAGGAACTTTTGAAAGGGGAAGTCAGAGCACCTGTGTGGTGAGGAAGGAAAAAAATAAGGTGCTGCAGATATCCCCCCACAGGCAAAAGTGACTCCCAACCGCCCAACGGGAGGCCCAGGTTATCCTGGGCATCCCTGGTTCACCCCCCACGGAGCATCTCAAGCCCACGGGGGGTAGCCAAAAGCGGCAGGAAAGCTTGAAAGAGAAAGTTGAGGCACCTGTGTAGTGTGGAAGGAAAAAATACGGTGCGGCAGAGGTCCCTGCACGGGCGACAGTGCCTCCGAACTGCACATGCATGGGGCCCAGGGTTTCTTGTGCATCCCTGTTTCATGCCCACGGAGCGTCTCGGGCCAATGGAGTGCAGCCAAAAGCGGCAGGAAAACTTGAAAGGGGAGGTAGAGGTAACTGTGTGGTGAGGAAGGAATAAAATATGGCACGGCAGAAGTCCCCCCATGGGCGAAAGTGCTTCCCAACAGGGCAGGTGTGGGGCACCAGGGACCATGGGTTTCCCTGGGTACCACCCATGGAGCGGCTTGGGCCCACAGGGTCTGCCCAAGGCGGCAGGAAGACTTGAAAGGGGAGGTGGAGTCACCTGTGTTGTGGAAGGAAAACACAAATGGTGAATCAGTGGTCCCCCCCATGGCTGAAAGAGCCTCCCCACAGCACATGCGTGGGGCCCAGGGGACCTTGGGGGTCCCTGGTTCACACTCATGGAGCACCTCGGGCCTATGGGGGCAGCACAAGGTGGCAGGAAGGTTTGAAAGAGGAAGTGAAGGCACCTGTGTTGTGGAGGGAAAAACCAAAAGGTGAGGCAGATGTCCGCCCCCTGCGGGCAAAAGTGCCTCCCCACAGGACATGTGCGGGGCCTAGGAGATCCTGGGCATCCCTGGTTCACACCCACGGAGAGTCTTGGGCCCACGGGGGGCAGCCCAAAGTGGCAGGAAGGCTTGGAAAGTGAGGTCGAGGCACCTGTATGATGAGGAAGGAAAAAAATACAGCACGACAGAGGTCCCCCCACAGGCGAAAGTGCCTCCAAACTGCACATGCGCAGATCCCAGGGGATCCTTGGCGTTTCTGGTTCATGCCCACGGTGTGTCTCAGGCCCACGGGGGGCAGCCTAAAGCGGCACGAAAGCTTGAAAGGGGAGGTCGAAGCACCTGTGTGATGAGGAAGGAAAACAAAACGGCGCAGCAGAGGTCCCTCCACGGGCGAACGTGCCTCTCAACTGCTCATGCGTGGGGCCCAGGGGATCCTGGACATACTTGCTTTGCTCCCATGGAGCATTTCAGGCCCACAGGGGGCAGCCCAAAGCGTCAGGAAGGCTTGAAAAAGGAGGTCAGGTCACCTGTGTGGTTGGAAGGAAAAAAAAAATGGCGCGGCCGAGGTCCCCTCCACAGCCAAAGTGATTCCCAACTGCACATGTCTGGGGCCCAGGGGATCCTGGACCTCCGTGGTTTGTGCCCACAGGGCATCTCGGGCCCCCCAGGAGAAGCGTAAAGCGGCAGGAAGGCTTGAAAGGGGAGGTCGAGGCACCTGTGTATTCTGGAAGGGAAACAAATGTCGTGGCCGAGGTCCCCCGAACAGGCAAAAGCGCCCATCATCCGCGCATGTGCTGGTCCCAGAGGATGCTGGGGTTCCCTGTTTTGTGCCCACGGAGCACCTCCGGCCCAAGTGTTGCAGCCCAAAATGGCAGGAAATCTTGAAAGGGGAGGTCGAGGCACCTGTGTGGTGTGGACGGAAATAAAATGGTGTGTCAGAAGTCTCCCCACGGGCAAAAGTACCCCCCAAGAGTGCATGCGTGGGGCCAGGGGATAATGGGTATACCAGTCTTGTGCTCACATAGCATCTCAGGGCCACAGGAGGCAGCCCAAAGCGGCAGGAAGCCTTGAAATGGGAAGTCGAGGCACCTTTGTGGTTTGAAAGGAAAAAAACACGGCACGGCAGAGGTCCCTGCCAAGGGCGAAAGTGCCTCCCAACCACTCATGCGAGGGTCCCAGGGGATCCTCGGCATCCCTGATTCACGCTTACAGGGCATCACGGGCCCACAGGGGGCAGCTCAAAGCGACAGGAAGGCTTGAAATGGGAGGTCGAGGCACCGTTTGTTGTGGAAGGAAAAAAAATGTCGTGGCATGGGTACCCACCAAAGGCGATAGTTCTCACCCGCACATGCGTGGGGCCCAGGAGATCCAGAACATCCCTGGTTCATGCCTACAGAGCATCTTGGGCCCACAGTGGGCAGCCCAAAGAGGAAGCCTTGAAATTGGAGGTCAAGGCACCTGAGTGTTGTGGAAGGATAAAAAAACGGAGCCGCCGAGGTCCCCACAACAGGTGAAAGTGCCTCCCAACCGCGCATTCACTGCACCCACGGGATTGTGGGAATCCCTGGTTCTGGCCCAAGGAGCATCTCAGGCCCAAGGCGAACAGCCCCAAGCGGCAGGAAGGCTTGAAAGGTGAGGTCGAGGCACCTATGTTGTGTGGAAGGACAAAAAAAGGTGCACCACAGTTCCCCCAATGGGCGTAACTCCTCCCAACCGCACATATGTGGGACCCCGAGGATCCTGGCCGTCCCTAGTTGGTGCCCACAGAGCATCTTGGGCCCACGGGTGGCAGCCCAAAGCGGCAGGAAGGCTTGAAAGAGGAGGATGAGGCACTTGTGTGATATGTGAGGAATAAAAACGCAGTGGCAGAGGTCCCCCCATGGGAGAAAGTGCCTCCCAACCACGGATGCGTGGGACCCACGGGATCCTGGGCATCCCTGCTTCATGCCCACAGAGTGTCTCAGGCCTACGGAGGACAGCTTAAAACGGTAGTAAGGCTTCAAAGGGGAAGTCGAGACACCTATGTGGTATGGAGGGACAAAATAAGTCACGGCAGAGGTCCCACCCACGGGCGAAAGTGCCACCCAACCGTGCATGCATGGAGCCCTGGGGATCCTGGGCATATCTGGTTCATGCCCACGGAACATCTTGTGCCCACGGGGTCCAGCTCAAAGCGGCAGGAATTCTTGAAAGTGGAGGTGCAGGCTCCAGTGTTGTCAAAGGAAAACACGAAGAGCGAGGTAGGGTTCCCCCAACACGGGTGAAAGTGCCTCCCCACCACACATGTGCGGGGCCCAGGGGACTCTGGGCGTCCCTGATCCATGCCCAAGGAGTGCCTTGGGCCCACGGGGTCCAGCCCAAGGTGGCAGGAAACCTTGAAAGGGGAGGTGCAGGCACGTGTGTTGTGGAAGGAAAACACAAACAGCGAGGCAGAGGTTAACCCCTCGGGTGGAAGTGCCTACCCATCACGCATGTGCAGGACCCAGGGGACCCTGGGCATCCCTGGTTCATGTCCACAGAGAGCCTCAGCCCATGGGGGCCAGCCCAAGGTGGCAGGAAAGCTTGAAAGGGGAGGTGGAGGCACCTGTGGTGTGGAAGGAAATCGCAAATGGCGTGGCAGATGTCCCCAACCACTGGCGAAAGTGCCACCCCATCATGCATGCATGGGGCCCAGGGGACCCTGGGCATCCCTGGTTTGCACCCACAGAGCACCTCAGGCTCAGCGGGGCCTCCTCAAGGAAGGCTTGAAAGGGGAGGTCGAGGCACCTGTTGTGTGGAAGGAAAACACAAATGGCGCGGCAAAGTTACCCCCCACGGGAGAAAGTGCCTCCCCACCACGCATGCACAGGGCCCAGGGGACCTGCGCATACATGGATCTCGCCCACGGAGTGCCTTGGGCCCAAGGGGCCAGCCTGAGGCAGCAGGAAGTCTTGAAAGGGGTGTTGGAGGCACCTGTGTTGTGGAAGTAAAACACAAAGGGCAAGGCAGAGGTCCCCCCTCCATGGGCGAAAGTGCCTTTCCTCCACACATGTGCAGGGCCCAGAAGGCCATGGGCTTCCCTGGATCACAGCCACAGAGTGCCCCAGTCCCACGGGGCCAGCCCAAGTTGGCAGGAAGCCTTGAAATGGGAGGTCGAGGCACTTGTGTTGTGGTAGATAAACACAAAAGGCGAGGCAGAGGTCCCCCACCACGAGTGAAAGTGCATTCACACCGCGCATGTGCAGGGCCCAGGGGACCCTGTACTTCCCTGATTCATGTCCTTGGACTGCCTTGGGCCCACAGAGGACAGCCAAAGGCGGCAGGAAGGCTTGAAAGGGGAGGTGGAAGCACCTGTGCTATGGAAGGGAAACAAAAACGGCGAGGCAGTTGTCCCCCACAATGGGCAGAAGTGAATCCTCACCACGCATAGGTGGGGCCCAGTGGAACCGCAAAAGGTAAAAGTGCCTTCCCACCTCACATACACAGGGACAAACGGACCCTGGGCATCCCTAATTTATGCCCAAGGAGTGCCCCAGCCCACTGCTTTTGTAGAAGCTGGGGAGGGATATTTGGGAGTGCATTGAGGCCTACGATGAAAAAGAAAATATCTTCAGATAAAAACTAGAAAGAAGATTTCAGATAACCTGCTTAGTAACATGTGCATTAATCTCACAGAGTTACAACTTTCTTTTGATTGAGCAGTTTGAAAACACTGTTTCTGTAGAATCTGCAAAGGGATGTTTCAGAGTACAATGAGGCCTATGGTGAAAAAGGAAATATCTTTTATTTTATTTTATTTTATTATTTTATTTTATTTTATTTTTTTCACATTTAGTATGTGCTTTAATAATATTTTATAGTTTCTTTCATAGTGTTGTTATAAATCTTGTTTGACATTTATTTCTGTAGATTTATATATATACATATTTTTATTTTATTATTATTATACTTTAAGTTTTAGAGTACATGTGCACAATGCGCAGGTTAGTTACATATGTATACATGTGCCATGTTGGTGTGCTGCACCCATTAACTCGTCATTTAACATTAGGTATATCTCCTAAAGCTATCCCTCCCCCCTCCCTCCACCCCACAACAGTCCCCGAGTGTGATGTTCCCCTTCTTGCGTCCATGTGTTCTCATTGTTCAATTCCCACCTATGAGTGAGAATACGTGGTGTTTGTTTTTTTGTTCTTGTGATAGTTTACTGAGAATGATGATTTCCAGTTTCATCCATGTCCCTACAAAGGACATGAACTCATCATTTTTTATGGCTGCATATTATTCCATGGTGTATATGTGCCACATTTTCTTAATCCAGTCTATCATTGTTGGACATTTGGGTTGGTTCCAAGTCTTTGCTATTGTGAATAGTGCCGCAATAAACATGCGTGTGCATGTGTCTTTATAGCAGCATGATTTATAGTCCTTTGGGTATATACCCAGTAATGGGATGGCTGGGTCAGATGGTATTTCTAGTTCTAGTTCCCTGAGGAATTGTCACACTGACTTCTACAATGGTTGAACTAGTTTACAGTCCCACCAACAGTGTAAAAGTGTTCGTATTTCTCCACATCCTCTCCAGCACCTGTTGTTTCCTGACTTTCTAATGATTGCCATTCTAACTGGTGTGAGATGATATCTCATTGTGGTTTTGATTTGCATTTCTCTGATGGCCAGTGATGATGAGCATTTTTTCGTGTGTCTGTTAGCTCCATAAATGTCTTCTTTTGAGAAGTGTCTGTTCATGTCCTTCAACCACTTTTTGATGGGGTTGTTTGCTATTTTCTTGTAAATTTGTTTGAGTTCATTGTAGATTCTGGATATTAGCCCTTTGTCAGATGAGTAGGTTGCAAAAATTTTCTCCCATTTTGTAAGTTGCCAGTTCTCTCTGATGGTAGTTTCTTTTGCCGTGCAGAAGCTCTTTAGTTTAATTAGATCCCATTTGTCAATTTTAGTTTTGATGCCATTGCTTTTGGTGTTTTAGACATGAAGTCCTTGTCCATGCCTATGTCCTGAGTGGTATTGCCTAGGTTTTCTTCTAGGGTTTTTATAGTTTTAGGTCTAACGTTTAAGTCTTTAATCCATCTTGAATTAATTTTTGTATAAGGTGTAAGGAAGGGATCCAGTTTCAGCTTTCTACATATGGCTAGCCAGTTTTCCCAGCACCATTTATTGAATAGGGAATCCCTTCCCCATTGCTTGTTTTTCACAGGTTTGTCAAAGATCATATAGTTGCAGATATGTGGTGTTATTTCTGAGGGCTTTGTTCTATTCCACTGATCTATATCTCTGTTTTGGTACCAGTACCATGCTGTTTTGGTTACTGTAGCCTTGTAGTATAGTTTGAAGTCAGGTAGCGTGATGCCTCCAGCTTTGCTCTTTTGGCTTAGGATTGACTTGGCAAGGTGGGCTCTTTTTTGGTTCCATCTGAGCTTTAAAGTAGTATTTTCCAATTCTGTGAAGAAAGTCATTGGTAGCTTGATGGGGATGGCATTGAATCTACAAATTACCTTGGGCAGTATGGCCATTTTCATGATATTGATTCTTCCTACCCATGAGCATGGAATGTTTTTCCATTTCTTTGTATCCTCTTTGATTTCATTGAGCAGTGGTTTGTAGTTGTCCTTGAAGAGGTCTTTCACGTCCCTTGTAAGTTGGATTTCTAGGTATTTTATTCTCTTTGAAGCAATTGTGAATGGGAGTTCACTCACGATTTGGCTCTCTGTTTGTCTTTTATTGGTGTATAAGAATGCCTGTGATATTTGTACATTGATTTTGTATCCTGAGACTTTGCTGAAGTAGCTTATCAGCTTAAGGAGACTTTGGGCTGAGACAATGGGGTTTTGTAGATATACAATCATGTCATCTGCAAACAGGGACAATTTGACTTCCTCTTTTCCTAATTGAATGCCTTCTATTTCATTCTCCTGCCTGATTGCCCCGGCCAGAACTTCCAACACTATGTTGAATAGGAGTGGTGAGAGAGGGCATCCCTGTCTTGTGCCAGTTTTCAAAGGGAATGCTTCCAGTTTCTGCCCATTCAGTATGATATTGGCTGTGGGTTTGTCATAGATACCTCTTATTATTTTGAGATATGTCCCATCAATACTTAATTTATTGAGAGTTTTTAGCATGAAGCATTGTTGAATTTTGTCAAAGGCCTTTTCTGCATCTATTAAAATAATCGTGGTTTTTGTCTTTGGTTCTGTTTATATACTGGATTACATTTATTGATTTGTATATATTGAACCAGCCTTGCATCCCAGGGATGAAGCCCACTTGATCATAGTGGATAAGCTTTTTGATGTGCTACTGGATTCAGTTTGCCAGTATTTTATTGAGGATTTTTGCATTGATGTTCATCAAGGATATTGGTCTAAAATTCTCTTTTTTGGTTGTGTCTCTGCCCGGCTTTGTTATCAGGATGATGCTGGCCTCATAAAATGAGTTAGGGAGGATTCCCTTTTTTCCTATTGATTGGAATAGTTTCAGAAGGAATGGTACCAGTTCCTCCTTCTACCTCTCATAGAATTCAGCTGTGAATCCGTCTGGTCCTGGCCTCTTTTTGGTTGGTAAGATATTGATAATTGCCACAATTTCAGAGCCTGTTATTGGTCCACTCAGAGATTCAACTTCTTCCTGGTTTAATCTTGGGAGGGTGTATGTGTTGAGTAATTTATCCATTTATTCTAGATTTTCTACTTTATTTGCGTAGAGGTGTTTGTAGTATTCTCTGATGGTAGTTTGTATTTCTGTGAGATCGGTGGTGATATCCTCTTTATCACTTTTTATTGCATCTATTGGATTCTTCTCTCTTTTTTTCTTTATTAATCTTGCTAGCGGTCTATCAGTTCTGTTGATCCTTTCAAAAAACCAGCTCCTGGATTCATTAATTTTTTGAAGGGTTTTTTGTGTCTCTATTTCCTTCAGTTCTGCTCTGATTTTAGTTATTTCTTGCCTTCTGCTAGCTTTTGAATGTGTTTGCTCTTGCTTTTCTAGTTCTTTTCATTGTGATGTTAGGGTGTCAATTTTGGATCTTTCCTGCTTTCTCTTGTGGGCATTTAGTGCTATAAATTTCCCTCTACACACTGCTTTGAACGTGTCCCAGAGATTCTGGTATGTTGTGTCTTTGTTCTCGTTGGTTTCAATGAACATCTTTATTTCTGTCTCCATTGCGTTATGTACCCAGTAGTCATTCAGGAGCAGATTGTGCAGTTTCCATGTAGTTGAGCGGTTTTGAGTGAGTTTCTTAATCCTGAGTTCTAGTTTGATTGCACTGTGGTCTGAGAGATAGTTTGTTATAATTTCTGATCTTTTATATTTGCTGAGGAGTGCTTTACTTCCAACTATATGGTCAATTTTGGAATAGGTGTGGTGTGGTGCTGAAAAAAAATGTATATCCTGTTGATTTGGGGTGGAGAGTTCTGTAGATGTCTATGAGGTCCCCTTGGTGCAGAGCTGAGTTCAATTCCTGGGTATCCTTGTTGACTTTCTGTCTCGTTGATCTGTCTAATGTTGACAGTGGGGTGTTAAAGTCTCCCATTATTATTGTGTGGGAGTCTAAGTCTCTTTGTAGGTCACTCAGGACTTGCTTTATGAATCAGGATGCTCCTGTGTTGGGTGCATATATATTTAGGGTGGTTACCTCTTTTTGTTGAATTGATCCCTTTTTCATTATGTAATGGCCTTCTTTGTCTCTTTTGATCTTTTTTGGTTTAAAGTCTGTTTTATCAGAGACTAGGATTGCAACCCCTGCCTTTTTTTTGTTTTCTATTTGTTTGATAGATCTTCCTCCTTCCTTTTATTTTGAGCCTATGTGTGTCTCTGCATGTGAGATGGGTTTCCTGAATACAGCACAGTGATGGGTATTGACTCTTTATCCAATTTGCCAGTCTGTGTCTTTTAATCGTGATATTTAGTCCATCTACATTTAAAGTTAATATTGTTATGTGTGAATTTGATCCTGTTATTATGATGTTTGCTGGTTATTTTGCCCGTTAGTTGATGCAGTTACTTCCTAGCCTCGACGGTCTTTACAATTTGGCATGATTTTGCAGTGGCTGATACCAGTTTTTCCTTTCCGTGTTTAGTGCTTCCTTCAGGACCTCCTTTAGGACAGGCCTGGTGGTGACAAAATCTCTCAGCATTTGCTTGTTTGTAAAGTATATTATTTCTCCTTCACTTATGAAGCTTAGTTTGGCTGGATATGAAATTCTGGGTTGAAAATTCTTTTCTTTAAGAATGTTGAATATCGACCCCCACTCTCTTCTGGCTTGTAGAGTTTCTGCCAAGAGATCCACTGTTAGTCTGATGGGCTTCCCTTTGTGGGTAACTCGACCTTTCTCTCTGGCTGCCCTTAACATTTTTTCCCTTCATTTCAACTTGGTGAATCTGACAATTATGTGTCTTGGAGTTGCTCTTCTCAAGGAGTATCTTTGTGGCATTCTCTGTATTTCCTGAATCTGAATGTTGGCCTGCCTTGCTAGATTGGGGCAGTTCTCCTGGATAATATCCTGCAGAGTGTTTTCCAACTTGGTTCCATTCTCCCCATCACTTTCAGGTACACCAATCAGACATAGATTTGGTCTTTTCACATAGTCCCATATTTCTTGGAGGCTTTGTTCATTTCTTTTTATTCTTTTTTTTTTCTCTAACCTTCCTTTCTCGCTTCATTTCATCTTCCATCACTGATACCCTTTCTTCCAGTTGATGGCATCAACTCCTGAGGCTTCTGCCTTCTTCACGTAGTTCTCGAGCCTTGGCTTTCAGCTCCATCAGCTCCTTTAAGCAGTTCTCTGTATGGGTTATTCTAGTTATACATTTATCTAAATTTTTTTCAAAGTTTTCAGCTTCTTTGGCTTTGGTTTGAATTTCCTCCTGTAGCTTGGAGTAGTTTGATCCTCTGAAGCCTCATTCTCTCAACTCATCAAAGTCATTCTCCATCCAGTTTTGTTCCATTGCTGGTGAGGAGCTGCATTCCTTTGGAGGAGGAGAGATGCTCCCCTTTTTAGAGTTTCCAGTTTTTCTGCACTGTTTTTTCCACATCTTTGTGGTTTTATCTACTTTTGGTCTTTGATGATGGTGATGTACAGATGGGTTTTTGGTGTGGATGTCCTTTCTGTTTGTTAGTTTTCCTTCTAACAGACAGGACCCTCAGCTGCAGGTCTGTTGGAGTTTGCTAGAGGTCCACTCCAGACCCTGTTTGCCTAGGTACCAGCAGCGGTGGCTGCAGAACAGCGGATTTTCGTGAACCGTGAATTCTGCTGTCTGATCATTCCTCTGGAAGTCTTTTCTCAGAGGAGTACCCGGCCGTGTGAGGTGTCAGTCAGCCCCTACTTAGGGGGTGCCTCCCAGTTAGGCTGCTCGGGGCTCAGGGGTCAGGGACCCACTTGAGGAGGCAGTCTGCCCATTCTCAGATCTCCAGCTGCATGCTGGGAGAACAACTGCTCTCTTCAAAGCTGCAGACTCTGCTCTCTTCAAAGTCTGCAGAGGTTACTGCTGTCTTTTTGTCTGTGCCCTGCCCCCAGAGGTGGAGCCTACAGAGGCAGGCAGGCCTCCTTGAGTTGTGGTTTACTCCACCAAGTTGGAGCTTCCCCGCTGCTTTGTTTACCTAAGCAAGCCTAGGAAATGGCTAGCGACCCTCCCCCATCCTCACTGCTGCCTTGCAGCTTGTACTCAGACTGCTGTGCTAGCAATCAGTGAGACTCTGTGGGTATAGGACCCTCTGAGCCAGGTGCAGGATATAATCTCCTGGTGCACTGTTTTTTAAGCCCATCAAAAAAGCACAGTATTAGGGTGGGAGTGACCCGATTTTCCAGGTGCCATCTGTCACCCCTTTATTTGACTAGGAAAGGGAATTCCCTGACCCCTTGCACTTCCCAAGTGAGGCAATGCCTCGCCCTTCTTCGGCTCATACATGGTGCGCTGCACCCACTGCCCTGCACCCACTGTCTGGCACTCCCTAGTGAGATGAACCTGGTACCTCAGATGGAAATGCGGAAATCACCTGTCTTCTGCTTTGCTCACGCTGGGAGCTGTAGATTGGAGCTGTTCCTATTCAGCCATCTTGGCTCCAGCAGTGAAAAAGGAAATATCTTAAGATAAAAACTAGAAAGAAGCTTTCTGGGAGACTGCTTTGTGATGTGTGCATTCATCTCACAAAGGTAAATCTCTTTTGATGGAGCAGTTTGGAAACACTGTTTTTGTAGAATCCACAAAAGGATATTTGGGAGGGCATTGACGCCTATGGTGAAAAGAAAATCACTTCAGATTAAAAATAGAAAGAAGCTTTATTAGAAACTGCATTGCAATGTGTGGATTCATCTCACAGAGTTAAACATTGTTTGGATTGAGCAGTTTGGAAACAATGTTTTTGTAGAATCTCGGAAGGGATATTTGGAGCACATTGAGGTCTATTGTGAAAAAGGAAACATCTGCAGGTAAAAACTAGAAAGAAGCTTTCTGAGAAACTGCCCTGTGATGAGGGCATTCGTCTCACAGAGTTACACATTTCATTGAGCAGTTTGGAAACACTGTTTTTGTACAATCTGTGAAGGGATATTTAGGAGTGCATTGAGGCCTATGGTGAAAAAGGAAATAGCCTCAAATAAAAACTAGAAGGAAGCTTTCTGAGACACTGCTTTCTGACAGGAGCATTCCTCTCACAGCATTATAGCTTTCTTTTGATTGAGATATACGGAAACACTGTTTTTGCAGAATCTGGGAAGGGATATTTGGCAGTGCATAGAGGCCTGGGGCGAAAAAGGAAATATCTTCACATAAAAACTAGAAAGAAGTTTGTGAGAAACTGTTTTGTGATGTGTGCATTCATATCACAATGTTGAACCTTTCTTTTGATTGAGCAGTTTGGAAAGGCTATTTTTGTAGAATCTATGAAGTGATATTTGGGAGCACATTGAGGCATCTGCTGAAAAATGATATACAGATAAAAACTAGTAAAAAGCGTTATGAGAAACTGCTTTGTGATATGTGCATTCATTTCATAGAGTTAAACATTTCTGTTGGTTGAGCAGTGTGGAAACACTGTTTTTGTAGAATCTGGGAAGGGATATTTGGGAGCGCATTGAGGCCTATGGTGAAAAAGGGAATATCCTCAGATAAAAACTAGAAAGATGTTCTCTGAGAAATTGTTTTTTGATATGTGCATTCATCTCACAGAGTTACATCTTTCTTTTCATTGAGCAGTTTGGAAATATTGTTTTTGTGGAATCTGTAAAAGGATAATTGGGAACGCCTTAAGGCCTATGGTGAGAAAGGAAATATCTTCAGAAAAAAACTTGAAAGAAGCATTCTGAGAAACTGCTTTGTGATGTGCACTTTCATCTCAAAGTGTAAAACCTTTCTTTTGATTGAGCAGCTTAGAAACACTTTTTTTGTAGAATCTGTGAAGGGATATGTGGGAGTGCATTGAGGCCTATGTTGAAAAAGGAAATGTGCTCATATAAACATTAGAAAGAAGATTTCTGAGAAACTCCTTTGGATGTGTGCACTCATCTCACTGATTGAAACCTTTCTTTTCATTGAGCAGTTTGGAAACACTGTTTTTGTAGAATCTGAGAAGGGATATTTGGGAGCACATTTGAGGCCTGTGGTGAAAAAGGAAATATATTCAGATGAAAACTAGAAAGAAGCTTTCTGAGATACTGCTTTGTCATGTGTGCATTCCTCTCACAGATTTAAACATTTCTTTTGATTGAGCAGATTAGAAACACTGTTTTTGTGGAAACTCTCATGGAATATTTGAGAGCACATTGAAGTCTATGGTGATAAATGAAATATCTTCAGATAAAAACTAAAAAGAACCTCATGGAGACATGGGTTTGTGATGTGTGCATTCATCTCACGTTAAACCTTCTTTTGATTGAGTAGTTTGGAATCACTGTTTTTGTAAAGTCTGCAAAGGAATATTTGGGAGCACAGGGAAATTTGGGAATGCTCTAAGTCCTGTGCTGAAAAAGGAAGTATTCTCGAAAAAAAATAGAAAGAAACTTTCTGAGAAACTGCTTTGTGATGTGTAAATTCAACTCACAGAGTTAAACCTTTCTTTTGATTGAGCAGTTTGGAAACACTGTTTTTGTAGAATCCACAAAAGGATTTTTGGGAGGGCATTGAGGCCTTTGGTGAAAAAGGAAATATCTTCAAGTAAAAAATAGAAAGAAGCTTCATCAGCATTGTGATGTGTGGATTCATCTCACAGAGTTGAAACTTTGTTTTGATTGAGCGGTTTGGAAACACTGTTCTTGTAGAATCTGGGAAGGGATATTTGGGAGCACATTGAGGTCTGTGGTGAAAAAGGAAATATCCTCAGACAAAAACTAGAAAGAAGCTTTCTGAGAAACTGCTCTGTGATGAGGGCATTCATCTCACAGGGTTACACATTTCTTTTCATTGAGCAGTTTGGAAACACTGTTTTTGTACAATCTTCAAAGAGATATTTGAGAGTGCATTGAGGCCTATAGTGAAAAAGGAAATATCCCCAGATAAAAATTAGAAAGAAGGTTTCTGAGACACTGTTTTTGATGTGAGCATTCCTCTCACAGAGTTGAAGCTTTCTTTTGATTGAGATATACGGAAACACTGTTTTTGCAGAATCTATGAAGGGATATTTGGGAGTGCATAGAAGTCTAAGGTGAAAAAGGAAATATCTTCACATAAATACTAGAAAGCTTTGTGAGAAACTGCTTTGTGATGTATGCATTCATATCGCAGTGTTGAATCTTTCTTTTGATTGAGCAGTTTGGAAAAACTTTTTCTAGAATCTATGAAAGGATATTTGAGAGCACATAGAGCCATATGGTAAACAGGAAATATCTTCAGATAAAAACTAGAATGAAGTTTTATGAGAAACTGCTTTGTGATATGTGCATTCACTTCTTAGAGTTAAACCTTTCTTTTGATTGAGCAGTTTGAAAACACTGTTTTTGTAGAATCTGGGAAAGGATATTTGGGAGTGCATTGAGGCCTAAGGCAGAAAAGGAAATATCCTCAGATAAAAACGAGAAAGAAGTTTTCTGAGAAACTAGTTTTTGATATGTGCATTCATCTCAAAGAGTTTCACCTTTCTTTTGATTGACCAATTTTTGAACCTTGTTTTTGTACAATCTGTGAAGAGATATTTGGGAACACCTTGAGGCCTATGGTGAAAAAGGTAACATCTTCATATAAAAACTAGAAAGAAGCTTTCTGAAAAACTGCTTTGTGATGTGTGCATTTATCTCATACAGTTGCACCTTTCTTTTCATTGAGCAGTTTGGAAACACTGTTTTTATAGAATCTGTGAAAGGATATTTGGGAGTGCATTGAGGTCTGTGGTGAAAAAGGAAATATCCTCAGACAAAAACTAGAAAGAAGCTTTCTGAGAAACTGCTCTGTGATGAGGGCATTCATCTCACAGAGTTACACATTTCTTTTCATTGAGCAGTTTGGAAACAGTGTTTTTGTACAATCTGCGAAGAGATATTTGAGAGTGCATTGAGGCCTATGGTGAAAAAGGAAATATCTTCAGATAAAAACTAGAAAGAAGCTTTCTCACATATTGCTTTGTGATGTGGTCATTCATCTCACAGAGTTAAACCAGTCTTTTGATTCTAGAGTTTGGAAACACTCTTTTTGAAGAATCTGCAAAGACATATTTGGGAGTGCGTTGAGGCCTCTGGTGAAAAAGTAAATATCTTAAGGTAAAAACTAGAGAGAAACTTTCTGAGAAATGACTTGTGATGTGTGCATTCATCTTACAATTAAAACTTTCTTTTGATTCAGCCATTTGGAAACACTGTTTTTGTAGAATCTGCCAAGTGTTATTTCAGATATCTTTGAGGCCTATAGTGAAAAGGGAAATATCTTCAGATAAATACTAGAAAGAAGTTTTGAGAAACTGCTTTTTGATGTGTGCATTCATCTCAATGAGATAAAACTTTGCTTTGATTGAGCAGTTTTGAAATACTGTTTTTGTAGAATCTGCAAAGGGATAATTGGGAGCACATTAAGGCTTATTGTGCAAAAGGAAATATCTTCAGATAAAAACTAGAAAGAAGCCTTCTGAGAAACCACTTTGTGATGTGTGCATTCATCTCACACTGTTAAACCTTTCCTTTGATTGAGCAGTTTGGAAACACTGTTTTTGTAGAATCTGCAAACGGATATTTGGGAATGCATTCAGGCCAATGGTGAAAAAGGAAATATGCTCAGATAAAAACTAGAAAGAAGGTTTCTGAAAAACTGCATTTTGATGAGTGCATTCATATCACAGAGTTAAATCCTTCTTTTAATGTAGCAGTGTGGCAACACTGTTTTTGTAGAATCTGTGAAGGGATATTTTGGAGCGCATTGAGGCATATGGTGAAAAAGGAAATACCTTCAGATAAAAACTAACAGAAGCTTTCTGAGAAACTGTTTTGTGATGAGTGCATCCATCTCACAGAGTTAAACGTTTATTTTGATTGAGCAGCTTGGAAACTGTTTCTGTAGAATCTGTGAAGAGACATCTGGGAGCCCTTTGAGGCCTATGGTGAAAAAGGAAATATCTTCAGATAAAAACTGGAAAGAAACTTTCAGAGAAAGTGCTTTGTGATGTTTGCATTCATATCACAGAGTTAAAACTTTCTTTTGATTGAGCAGTTTGGGACACTGTTTTTGTAGAATCTGGGAAGGGATATTTGGGGACATATTGAGGCCTATGGTGAAAAAGGAAATATCCCCAGATAATAACTAGAAATAAGCTTTCTTAGAAACTGTTTTGTGTTGTGTGCATTCATCTCACAGCATTAAGGCTGTTTTTTGATTGAGCAGTTTGGAAACACAGTTTTTGTAGAATCTGTGAAGGGATATTTGGGAGCGCATTGAGACCTATGGGGAAAAATGAAATATCTTCAGATAAAAACTAGAAAGAAGCTTTCTGAGAAACTCCTTTGTGATGTCTGCATTCACCTGACAGTTAAACCTTTATTTTGATTGAGCAGTTTGGAAACACTGCTTTTGTAGAATCTGCCAAGGGATACTTGGGAGCACATTGAGGCCTACTGAAGGGGCCATCCCCTCCTCACATGTGGGTGTTTCTCATCCGGTGGTAAGAGAGACTGAGAAAAGAAATAAGACACAGAGACAAAGTATAGAAAAAGAACATGGGCCCAGGGGACAGGAGCTTAGCATACAGAGGACCTGTGCCTGCACTGGTCTCTGAGTTCCCTCATTATTTATTGATCACTATCTCTACCATCTCAGACAGGGGGTTGAGGGTATAGGGTAATGATGGGGAAATGTTCAGCATGAAAACATGTGAGCAAAGATCTCTGTGTCATAAATAAGTTTAAGGAAACGGGCTGTGACTTGATGGGCATGTAGGCCAGATTTATGTTTGACTTTACACAAACATCTCAGTGCCTTAAAGAGCAGTATTGCCACCAGCATGTCTCACCTCCAGCCATAAGGCGGTTTTCTGCTATCTCAGTAAACAGAACATACAACCGGGTTTTACACCGAGACATTCCATTCTCAGGGATGAGCAGGAAACAGATGCCTTCCACTTATCTCTATTGTAAAGAAGCCTTCCTCTTTCACTATTCCTTCTCATCACAGACCATTTATGGGTGCCAGGCTAGGGGATGGTCAGGTCTTTCCCTTCCCACAAGGCCATATCTCAGGTGTTCATATGGGGAGAAACCTTGGAGATTACCTGGCTTTCCTGGAGAGAGGTCCCTGTGGCCTGCCTTCAAGCACTTTTTTAACAAAGCATATCCTGCACAGACCTAAATCCATTAAACCATGTGTCAACACATCACGTGTCTCTGCAAGCACAGGTTGGGGCTAGGGTTACAGATTAACAGCATCTCAAGGCAGGAGAATTTCTCTTAGTGTGGAACAAAATGGAGTTTCTTATGTCTACTACTTTCTACATAGACACAGTAACAGTCTGATCACTCTCTCATTTCCCCATATTTCCCCCTTTTCTTTTCGACAATACCACCATCATCATCATGGCCTGTTCTCAATGGTTGCTGTCACTTCAGAGCTGCTGGGTACACCTGCAGACTAACAACCGACAGAACAGGCACACAAAGATTAATATGAAATTTACAATAGTAGAACTTCCAATGGTCTTAACCCAAGTGACAGGGTTAAGATTTGTGTGGCCATCAGCAACTCCTGCGATTGCCTCAGTTCCTGGTACCAAATTTAAATGAGTTTTTGATGCTTTGAAAACTTGTTCTTTTAATTTGGAAATGTCTAAAGTGAGATTATCTTCTCTTCCCTGTAGATGGTCTTTAGCCATGTCCCAGTGATGCTCAGACTCATTATAAACTCGGGGTGTAATACAAAATCTGATGTATTCCAGTCACACTATAACTGGAAACTATGTTCTAAGCTCATGAGCGTATCTCCTATCCAAATGACCATTTGTCTAAGCTCATTAATTTGATTTGCCAATTTTTGATCAATACCAGATTGTGAATTCCACAGTCTTGTAGAATTTTTTTTGACAATTATTAATAAAGTTTACTGTCTGAACAGAAGAGTGCAATGCAACTCCTACCACAGCAGCCATAGCTGTGACTGCAATTAATCCCATAATCACTGCAATTAAAGTAAAAATGAACCTTTTGGATCTATTTAGATTGCCTTTTAATACTTCAGTCAAAATATGGATGGATGGCAAGGCCTCCCACGGTCAGTCCAGGGACACAGGGATCCACAATCCTGGGTCCACAATCCTGCTCAATCAAAAGAAAAGTTTAAATCTGTGAGATGAGTGCACACATCACAGAGCAGTTTCTCAGAAATCTTCTTTCTAATGTTTATCTGAGCACATTTCCTTTTTCACCATAAGCCTCAATGTGATCCCACACATCCCTTCACAGATTCTACATAATAGTGTTTCTAAGCTGCTCAATCAAAACAAAGGTTTAACAGTTTGAGATGAAAATGCATATCACAAAGCAGTTTCTCAGAATGCTTCTTTCAAGTTTTTTCTGAAGATATTTCCTTTTTCACCATAGGCCTTAAGGCCTTCCTTATTATCCCTTTGCAGATTCCACAAAAACAATATTTCCAAACTGCTCAATGAAAAGAAAGATGTAACTCTGTGAGATGAATGCACACATCAAAAAGCAATTTCTCAGAGAGCCTTTTCTTGCTCTCACTAGCAGAATACAGTGCTGCCAATTAACAGTCGAATCAATGCAATTTAACAATCTGCAATTTTCACAGGTTATAGTTTGCGAGTCTGGTTTAATGAATATATTTCCTACAACTAGCATATAAGGGGGCTTTCAAAACTTTTTAAAGGAACTGTTAGACTGGAATTTAGGGCGATAGTATAAAATGGCTTGTGATCTTTTTTTCTATAGCTTGATATCCAAACCAAATTCTAATGCGGTATGAGGCCACAGTAAGCCTCCTTAATTCTGATGTTCAGGGCCAGAAACAAGGCTTAGTATTTGTTGTCTTGGAGTAGAGATTCCTTTTTGTCACCATTCCCAATGGCAGAAAGACTATAATTTTTTGTGCTTATGTTTGTCCAAACTTTCTATTAAGTCACTATTAACAGCTGGACTCACTTGTGCACTGGGACACGACTGGGTTTGTCTTGTGCAATTGTGGCAGAATTGACCTCGAGGTGCCCAGTCTATAATAATTCCAAATTCATTGTTCCATAATATCATCACACTATTGGCCACACTTTCTTGCCAAACTAAAACTTCTGTACTTTTGATCTTTTGGGAATTTCCTTGGGGCAAGGTTTCCCTTTAGGCCTAAATTTTAATGATCTTTGATAAGAAAAGTCCTTTAAATAATTTACTTGTGGCTTGAGTGGCATTCCACTTACCATGTGATAAGTTAATCTACTGGTGGTACTGACAGTAGGTTCTTCTACCAACCAATTTTGGATTGCAGGCATTAAACATCCTGGTGCTCTCCCTAAGCACATAGGAGGATAACGATGCCCAGTGGAAATATTTATCATCATTCCTTCTTCCTCAGGTTTGGGAGGGCAACGATCACCTGTGGGGACAGGTACACATGCACTATTATTAACATATACTTCAATAGGATTATCCATCCGTGTGATGGCCCAAATTAAGGGTGGGAAAGGCTCATAGGCCCAGTAGGTATAATTAGCTGCAGCGGCTCCTGCAGACATGGGGAGACTTACCATCGTGGATACAATCATCAAAGCTGCAAGGAGAATATTCTCTGGAGTTTGTATCACCTTTGTGTTCTCTAGGCTTTTTTTTTTAGCTAACTGTGTCAGCTTCTTTAATTGTGCCCAAGTCAGCAGCTCCGCTTTCTTGGTGGATGGCAACTTCATCTGTTCTTCTGACATCACCATTTTGTTCATTTTGTGAGTCAATGGTGCTCGATTGTGGTGTTTCCATCTCTGTGGAGGCTCTTTTCTTTGCATCCCCGATGGGTTCATTGTAGAGCTTCAAATGTCTAGTGGGTATCCAAACAGAAAGCTGATCTTCTCCTGGTGAAACACAAGCAAAACCTCTCCCCCACGTTACCACCTCCTCTATTTCCCACGTCTTATTTTTGTTTTCTTTCCACCAAATCAGTTTTTCTTCATGTGGGCTGTTCTTTTTATCAGTAAGATGCTGTCCTGCAGGGGTAGTAGTCTGATTTCTATAAATGTTTAAAAAACTTACAGTATAGAGTGCTAGATTAAGTTGCATCTGAGTAGTGGAACACTCCTTACTGTCTGCCCCTTCTTTTTGTTTAACCAATTGAGTTTTGAGTGTTCCATTTGTTCTTTTAATTATGGCCTGCCCTTGGGAATTATACAGAATTCCTCTGGTACGTGTAATTTTCCACTGATTTAAGAATTTTAGGAAAGCTGTACTACAGTCCTGGTCCCTTGTCAGTTTTAATTTTTTTGGAACTCCCATGACAGCAAAACAAGATAAGAAATGTTTTTTTAACATGGGAAGTACTTTCTCCTGTCTGGCATGTTGCCCATATGAAATGTGAATAAGTATCAACTCTTACATGGACACATGATAATCTTTCAAATGAAGGTACATGCGTGACATCCATTTGCCATAACACATTAGGACACAGACCTCTGGGATTAACTCGTGCCTCTTGAGTGGGCAAGTGTAGGACTTGACACTGGATGCAATGCTGTACAATACTTTTTGCCTGTTTCCATGTGACATCAAATTTGTTTTTTAATCCTGCTGCATTTACTTGAGTCAAAGCATGAAGTTCTTGTGCTTTTAAGAATGCAGATGATACCAGTAAGACAGCTTGTTCATTTGCTTTAGTTAAAGGCCCTGGTAAATTAGTGTGTACTCAAATATGAGCAATATAAAATGAGAAATTTCTTTTTCTTACAGTTTGTTGTAATAAATTGGACAGCCGGTTTAACTGATCTTGCACGCTATATTTAATTAGAGCTGTCTCAACATCCCTTGTAGCCTGTACTACATAGGCAAAATCTGATACAATATTAATAGGTTGATTAAAATCTTGTAACACTGTAATGACTGCAACCAACTTTGCTCTTTGAGCCGATTGATAGTGAGGTTTGATGACTCGCTCTTTTGGCTCTGTGTAATCTGCTTTTCCATTGCTGGAACAGTCAGTAAACACTGTCAGAGCATTTTCTAGAGGTTTATGTCTGGTAATTTGGGGTAAAATCAAAGTAGTCAATTTTAAAAACTGGAAGATTTTTGTTTTTGTTTAATGATTTTCAATAATTCCCACAAAGTTAGCAAGACCGATCTGCCATGCACCACAATTGATAAAACTTCTCTAACTTGTTCCTTGTTTAAAGGAACAACTATTTTGTCTGGATCATTTCCACACAATTTTATTATTTGTAATCTTTCCTGACCAATTAATGTAGCTATTTGATCCAAGTACAATGTAAAAGTCTTAATTGTACTGTGAGGAAGGAATGACCACTCCACAAGATCAGTGTTTTGAATAATGATGCCTGTTGAAGAAGATGCAGTAGCAAAAATCAAATGTTGGTGTGGGGCTAAGGGATCTATTCTATTTATTTGTTCTGACAGAATATTTTCTTTCACTAATTTAATTTCTTTTGTTGCCTCTGTGGTTAATATTCTTTTACTATTTAAGTCAGGGTCTCCTCTTAACATAGAGAACAAATTTGACATGGCATAAGTAGGAATGCCTAGAGTTGACCGAATCCAATTAATGTCTCCTAGCAATTTTTGAAAGTCATTTTTAATGTGTCTTTTCTTATCTCTATTTTTTGTGGCTTAGTTTTTCTATTTTCTGTCTACATCCCAAATAATGAAAAGCAGTAGATGTTTGAATCTTATCAGATGCTATTGCCAGTCCTGCGTTGGCAACCTCTGCTTGCAGAAATGTGTAAGAGTCAATTTGTCTCTCGTTTCTGCAGCACACAAAATATCATCAACATAATGAATGATGTAACAGTCTGAAAACTTGTCTCTGGTTGAAGAGCTTGACCTATGGAAGTCTGACAAATAGTTGGAGCATTAAGCATTCTCTGAGGTAACACTTTCCAGTGAAACCTGGTGGCTTGTTTTTTATTATTTATGGCTGGTATAGTAAAGGGAAATTTTTCAAAATCCTGCTCCGCCAGAGGAATGGTAAAAAAGTAATCCTTCAGATCAATTATAATTAAAGACCAGTCTTTTGGGATCATGGCCGGAGAATGCAACCCGGGTTGGAGAGGGCCCATGGGTTGAATTGTGGCATTTACGTCCCTTAAGTCAGTTAACATACGCCATCTACCGGATTTTTTCTGAATTAAAAACACAGGAAAATTCCAAGGTGAGAATGAAGGCTCAATATGTCCCTTTTCTAATTGTTCTTTTGCTAATAAATGTAAAGCCTCTAGTTTTTGTTTTGGTAGTGACCACCAATTTACCCATACCGGTTTTTCTGTTTTCCAAGTTAATGGAATTGGTTTAGGAGGCTCTATGGTGGCCACCCCTAAAAAGGAAACCGTATTCATTTTCTCTCTTGATTTCCCTCAGCCTCAATTGGGACCTTAATGCCATTTTCATTTTTTCCTAGTCCCTTTCCTGGTACATATCCCATTTTAGTCTTGATTTTTTAACTCGTGGGGCAGTATAATGGAGTGGGCATAGTGATTTCTGCACCCCATTTTTGTAATAAATCTCGACCCCACAGACTAACAGGAATTGAGGTAATCATTTGCTGAACAGTATTTTCTTGATTATCCAGCCCTAAACAATGTAAAATCATAGTACTTTGATATACCTCTGAGAAAGTGCCTATGCCAACAAGTCCTGTAACAGCCTTTTGTTTAGGCCAATTTTTTGGCCACTGATTTAAAAATGATAGAGACATCTGCCCCCGTGTCTACTAACCCTTCAAACTGTTTTCCTTGAATAACGGCCTTACACCCAGGTCTGCTCTCTGAGACTTGACTTGCCCAATATGCAGTCTTTCCTGCTGGATCACTGCTTCCAAACCCTCCTGTTCTTTTTATCTCACTGTTTCCAACCTTAATATTAGGCAGGAGTAATAATTGAGCAATTCTGTCTCCTGGACTGGCACTCCAAGGAATTGAGGAGCTAATAACCAATTGAATTTTGCCTTTGTAGTTTGAATCAACCACACCAGTACGAATTTGAACTCTCTTTAGATTTAGACTTGATCTTCCTAAGATTAGTCCTACAGTCCCTTTAGGCAGTGGGCCATACATTCCTGTAAGGATTTCTTATGGGGGCTCCCCTGGAAGCAGAGAGACTGCTTGTATATACATAAATCCGCTGCACTGCCACTTGCGCCAGGGGACATTTGTTGTATTGTGGTAACTGGCCCTTTCCCTGAGGCACTAGTGACAGTGGGGTTTGTTGTCCCTGAAAACCCTGAGGAACAAAGGGCTGAATTGGGAATGTCCCAGTTTGTTGCAGGGCCTGAGGGTGGCCCCTCTTCTCGTTTCCTGACAATGGTTGTCTATTTTTATCAAACTTAGAACGACATTGATTAGCTCAATGTTTGCCTTTTTTACATCTGGGACATAGGCCAGGTGGCTCTTTATCTGTTGTTGCAGTGGCTTGAGTTGTTATATTTTGTTCATTTGAGACTGGGCAATTTTTTTTTAGATGACCAATTTGACCACGATTATAACATTTTCCCCCAAATGTTCTAACTTGTCCTCCTAAAACAACTCCCATTATTGCTTGAGCCATAAGCATAGCTTTATGCATAGCTCCTCCAATTCCATCACAGGCTTTTACCTACTCTGAGATTACATCTGATCCTGCCGTGAACTTCCATTTTAATGCCTTAATGGCTGATTGACAATCAGGATTGGCATTTTCATATGCCATCGACTCCACTATGAACTTACAGGCATTTTCATCAGGAATTGACCTTTGAGCAGCATCTTGGAGTCTTGCCACAAAATCAGGATAGGGCTCTTTATAGCTTTATCTTATTCTATTGAATCAGGGGCAGGTGGTTTCTGGGCCTTGGATTTTTTTCCAGGCCCTAAGGCAGATAGCTTTAACTTGCTCAATGGCCTCATTTTGCATTACTGCTTGTTGATTAGTAGTGTAACAATTTTGACCTGTTCCTAATAGTTGATCTGCATCTATGTTAACTGGAGGATTGGCAGCCCTATTTTTTCGGACTTGTTCTTGAGCCCCATCAATCCACCAAGTCTTATGTTGTAAAATTTGCGAGGGTGAGAGTGATGATTTGGCCAAAATCTGCCAATCATAAGGAATGAGTCTATGTCCATAAGCAATGGAATCTAATAATGTTCTCATATAAAGGTATAGCGCTATTCCCTGTGGTACTGGAAACATTCCTGGCTGTCCATACTGATTTTCTGGGGGTGGCCAATACTGAAGTTTGGCTGGTGGCCAGTATTGATAGGCCACCAGAGGTTGGGTCTTATTTTTTATCAGCTGATATTGTGGACACTGTATTTGGATTGGCATTGCCATGACAGAGACTCTATCTTTTTTTATTTGGTATTCTTTTGGGGTTTGTACTTGTCTAACCTGCATTTGGGGTTGTAATGTTACAGACATCTGAACTGCTGGAAGAGGAGTTGGTCATCGTGGTTTAGACTCTGATGGTCCCATTTATTCTGTACCTTTTTCTTCTAATTTTAATGTTTTAGGATATATTACCTCCTGTAGTTGATTGTAGTCAACACCTTGCGTTGACTGAGCCATTACATACTCTGCTACATATTTACAATGTGAACTTTCCATTCCTTTCCAGGATTCTGTCCCTGCCTCTCCTTCACAATCTATTACACAGCTTTCAGGGGTATCAGAAACTGAAAAGCTATCTTCTCCTATTTGAAAAGGTTCTAAAGCTGCTTTAATAATGGACCAATCATTCCATACTGTAAGTGGGATGATTTTACCCTCCTTATTTTCTTGTTTTAATTCTATGCCAATTTTTTCCCAATCTTTTATATCTAAAAGTCCCTGTTCTGGAAGCAATGGGCAGAATTGTTCTATTGTTTCAAATAGTGTGATTAGGTTTTCTGTAGAGACTCTAACTCCCCCTCTTTTTAAAAGAATTTCAATAAAGCTAGATAAAAGGAATATTTACTGTCAGTTTGTACCATTGTTACCCTGGGTTGCTCTGAGCACACACAATCTTACCACAAGGCTGACTGTGGACTTACTCGGGAATGTCTCTTCTACTTGTCCTCAATGACCATGTTCTAGCGTAACTTCAACCTAGAGAAAAGCACCCTCGTTGGGCACAAGATGACGGGGGACAGCCCCTCCACACCAGTGGATGTTTCTCATCTGGTAGGATGAGAGACTGAGAAAAGAAATAAGACACAGAGACAAAGTGTAGAGAAAGAACAGTGGGGCCAGGGGACTGGCACTCAGCACAGGGAGGACCCACGCCTTCACTGGCCTCTCAGCTCCCTTAGTATATATTGATCACTATCTTTACCATTTCATAGAGGGGGATGTGGCAGGACTATAGGGTAATAGTAGGGAGAGATTCAGTAGGAAAACATGTGAGCAAAGATCTCTGTGTCAAAAATAAGTTTAAGGAAAAGTTGTGCCTTGATGTGCACATAGGCCAGATTTATGTTTGACTCTACACAAACATCTCGGTGCATTAAAGAGCAGTACTGCTGCCACCATGTCTCACCTCCAGCCATAAGGCCATTCTCCCCTTTCTCAGTAAATAGAACTGGCAATCGGGTTTTACACCAAGAGATTCCATTCCCAGGGACGAGAAGGAGACAGATGCCTTCCTCTTATCTCAACTGCAAAGAAATCTTCCACTTTCACTAATTCTCCTCAGCACAGATCATTTACAGGTGTCGGGCTGGGGAATAGACAGGTCTTTCCCTCCCATGAGGCCATACCTCAGGCTATCACATGGGGAGAAACCTTGGACAATACCCGGCTTTCCTGGGCAGAGGTCCCTGCAGGTTTCTGCAGTGCATTCTGTCCCTGGCTACTCGAGATTAGAGAATGGTAATGACTTTTACCAAGCATAGTGCATTCAAACACATTTTCAACAAAGCACATCCTGCACAGCCCTAAATCCATTAAACCTTGAGTCAACACACCACATGCCTATGTGGGCACAGGGTTAGGGCTAGGGTTAGAGATTAACAGCATCTCAAGGCAGAAGAATTTCTCTTGGTACAGAACAAAATAGAGTTTCTTTTATCTAATTCCTTCTACATAGACACAGTAACAATCTGATCTCTCTTTCTTTTCCACATAGAGCAGTTTGGAAATACCATGTAGAATCTGCAAAGGGATATTTGGGATTTCATTGAGGCCTATGGTGAAAAAGGAAATATCTTCACAGAAAAACTAGAAAGAAGCTTTCTGAGAAACTGCTCTGTGTTGGGTGAATTCACCTAACAGAATTAAACATTTCCTTTCATGGAGCAGTTTGGAAACACTGTTTATGTAGAATCTGTAAAGGGATATTTGTTTTATTATTATTATTATTATTATTATTATTATTATTATTATTATTTAAGTTTTAGGGTACATGTGCCCATTGTGCAGGTTTGTTACATATGTATACATGTGCCATGCTGGTGCACTGCACCCACTAACTCGTCATCTAGCATTAGGTATATCTCCCAATGCTATCCCTCCCCCCTCCCCACACCCCACAACAGTCCCCAAAGTGTGATGTTCTCATTCCTGTGTCCATGTGTTCTCACTGTTCAATTCCCACCTATGAGTGAGAATATGCGGTGTTTGGTTTTTTGTTCTTGCGATAGTTTACTGAGAATGATGATTTCCAATTTGATCCATGTCCCTACAAAAGACATGAACTCATCATTTTTTATGGCTGCATAGTATTGCATGGTATATATGTGCCACATTTTCTTAATCCAGTCTATCATTGTTGGATATTTGGGTTGGTTCCAAGTCTTTGCTATTGTGAATAATGCCGAAATAAACATACGTGTGCATGTGTCTTTATAGCAGCATGATTTATAGTTCTCTGGGTATATACCCAGCAATGGGATGGCTGGGTCAAATGGTATTTCTAGTTCTAGATCCGTGAGGAATCGCCACACTGTCTTCCACAATGGTTGAACTAGTTTACAGTCCCACCAACTGTGTAAAAGTGTTCCTATTTCTCCACATCCTCTCCAGCACCTGTTGTTTCCTGACTTTTTAATGATTGCCATTCTAACTGGTGTGAGATGGTATCTCATTGTGGTTTTGATTTGCATTTCTCTGATGGCCAGTGATGGTGAGCATTTTTCATGTGTTTTTTGGCTGCATAAATGTCTTCTTTTGAGAAGTGTCTGTTCATATCCTTCACCCACTTTTTGATGGGGTTGTTTGTTTTTTTCTTGTAAATTTGTTTGAGTTCATTGTAGATTCTGGATATTAGCCCTTTGTCAGATGAGTAGGATGTGAAAATTTTCTCCCATTCTGTAGGTTGCCTGTTCACTCTGATGGTAGTTTCTTTTGCTGTGCAGAAGCTCTTCAGTTTAATTAGATCCCATTTGTCAATTTTGGCTTTTGTTGCCATTGCTTTTGGTGTTTCAGACATGAAGTCCCTGCCCATGCCTATGTCCTGAATGGTATTGCCTAGGTTTTCTTCTAGGGTTTTTATGGTTTTAGGTCTAACGTTTAAGTCTTTAATCCATCTTGAATTGATTTTTGTATAAGGTGTAAGGAAGGGATCCAGTTTCAGCTTTCTACATATGGCTAGCCAGTTTTCCCAGCACCATTTATTAAATAGGGAATCCTTTCCCCATTGCTTGTTTTTCTCAGGGTTTGTCAAAGATCAGATGGTTGTAGATATGTGGCATTATTTCTGAGGGCTCTGTTCTGTTCCATTGATCTATATCTCTGTTTTGGTACCAGTACCATGCTGTTTTGGTTACTGTAGCCTTGTAACAAAATTCAACAACTCTTCATGCTAAAAACTCTCAATCTATGACAAACCCACAGCCAATATCACTCTGAATGGGCAAAAACTGGAAGCATTCCCTTTGAAAACTGGCACAAGACAGGGATGCCCTCTCTCACCACTCCTATTCAACATAATGTTGGAAGTTCTGGCCAGGGCAATTAGGCAGGAGAAGGAAATAAAGGGTATTCAATTAGGAAAAGAGGGAGTCAAATTGTCCCTGTTTGCAGATGACATGATTGTATATCTAGACAACCCCACTGTCTCAGCCCAAAATCTCCTTAACCTGATAAGCAACTTCAGCAAAGTCTCAGGATACAAAATCAATGTACAAAAATCGCAAGCATTCTTGTACACCAACAGCAGACAAACAGAGATACAAATCATGAGTGAACTCCCATTCACAATTGCTTCAAAGAGAATAAAATACCTAGGAATCCAACTTACAAGGGATGTGAAGGACCTCTTCAATGAGAACTACAAACCACTGCTCAAGGAAATAAAAGAGGATACAAACAAATGGAAGAACATTCCACACTCATGGGGAGGAAGAATCAACATCATGAAAATGGCCATACTGCCCAAGGTAATTTACAGATTCAATGCTATCCCTATCAAGCTACCCATGCCTTTCTTCACAGAATTGGAAAAAACTACTTTAAAGTTCATATGGAACCAAAAAAGAGCCCGCATTGCCAAGGCAATCCTAAGCCAAAAGAACAAAGCTGGAGGCATCACGCTACCTGACTTCAAACTATACTGTTAAGGGATATTTGGAAGCACATTGAGGCCTACAGTGAAAAAGGAAATACCTTCAGAGAAAAACTAGAAAGAAGCTTTCTGAGAAACTGTTTGTGATGTGTGCATTCACCTCAGAGAGTTAAATCTGTCTTTTGATTGAGCTGCTTGGAAACACTTTTTATGTAGCATCTACAAAGGGATATTTTGGAGCACATAGAGGCCTATGGTGAAAAAGGAAGTATCTTCAGACAAAAACTGGACAGAAACTTTCTGAGAAAGTGCTTCATAATGAGTGAATTCATCTCACAGAGTTAAACCATTCTTTTGATTGAGCAGTTTTGTAACCCTGTTTTTGTACAATATGTGAAGGGATATGTGGGAGTGCATTGAGGCCCACAGTGTAAAAGGAAATATCTTCAGAGAAAAACTAGAAAGAAGATTTCTAAGAAACTGCTTTGAAATATGTGCATTTATATCACATATCACAGAGTAAAACCTTTCTTTTGTTTGAGCAGTTTGGAAACACTGTTTTTGTAGTCTGTGAAGAGATATTTGGGAATGCATTGAGGCTTATAGTGAAAAAGGAAATATCTTCAGATAAAAACCAGAAAGAAGCTATCTGAAAAACCGTTTTGTGATGTGTCCATTCATCTCACAGAGTTAAACTTTTCTTTTGATTGAGCAGTTTGGAAACAATGTTTTTGTACAATCTGTGAAGGGATATTTGGGAGCACATTGAGGCACATGGTGGAAAAGGAAATATGTTCAGATAAAAACTAGAAGGAAGCTCTCTGAGAAACCACTTTGTGATGTGTCCATTCCTCTCACAGAGTTAAATTTTTCTATATTTGAGAAGTTTGGAAACACTGTTTTTGTAGAATCTGAGAAGAGACATTTGAAAGTGCATTGAGGCCTATGGTCAAAAAGGAAATATCTTTAGATAAACACAGGAAGGAAGCTTCTGAGAAACTGCTTTGTGATGTGTCTGTTCATCTCACAGAGTTAAACCTTTCTTTTGATGGAACAGTTTGGAAACACTGTTTTTGTACAATCGGTGAAGGGATATTTGGGAGTGAATTGAGGCCTATGGTGAAAAAGGAAATATCTTCCCATAAACACTAGAAAGAAGCTGTCTGAGAAGCTGCCTTGTGATGTGTCAATCACCTCACAGAGTTAAACCTTTCTTTTGATTGATCAGTTTGGAAACACTGCTTTTGTAGAATCTGTGAAAGGATATTTGCGAGCTCATTGAAGCCTATGATGAAAAAGGGAATAGCTTCAGAGAAAAACTAAACAGAAGCTTTCTGAGAAACTGCTTTGTGATGAGTGCATTCATCTCACAGAGTTAAATCTTTCTTTTGATTGAGCAGTTTTGTAACCCTGTTTTTTATAATCTGTGAAGGGATATGTAGCAGCACATTGAGGCCTAAGGAGAGAAAGGAAATGTCTTTGGAGAAAAGCTAGAAAGAAGCTTTCTGAGAAACCATTTTGTGATGTGTGCATTCATATCACATATCACACAGTTCAAACTTGCTTTTGATTGACCAGTTTCAAAACTGTTTTTGTAAAATGTGAGAAGTGATATTTGGGAGCACTTTGAGACTTATGGTGAAAAGGGAAATATCTTCAGATAAAAACTGGAAAGAAGGTTTCTGAGTAACTGCTTTGTGATGTGTGCATTCATCTGGCAGACTTAAACCTTCCTTTTGTTGGAGCAGTTTGGAAACATTGTTTTTGGAGAATCTGCAAAGGGATATTTGGGAGCGAATGAGGTCTATGGTGAAAAAGGAAGTATCTTCAGAGAAAAAGTAGAAAGAAGATTTCTGAGAAACTAGCTTTTTATGTATGCATTCATCTCACAGAGTTAAAACTTTCTTTTGATTGAGCACTTTGGAAACACCGTGTTTGTAGAATCTCTGAAGGGATATTTTGGAGCACATAGAGGCCTATGGTGAAAAAGAAAACATCTTCAGAGAAAAACTACAAAGAAGCTCTGAGAAACTGGTTTGTGATGCGTGCACTCAACTCAAAGTTTTAAACCTTTCTTTTGATTGAGCAGTTTGGCAACACTGTTTTTGTAGAATCTGTGAAGGGATATTTGGGAGCACATTCAGCCCTGTGGTGAAAAAGGAAATATCTTCAAATGCAAACTAGAGAAAAGAATTCTGAGCAACTGCTATCTGAAGTGTGAATTCATATCACAGAGTTAAACCATTATTTTGATTGAGGAGTTTGGAAACACTGTTTTTATAGAAACTAAGAAGGGATATTTGTGAGTTCATTGAGGTCTATAGTGAAAAGGGAAATATCTTCAGATAAAAACTAGAAAAAAGCATTCTGAGAAACTGCTTTGCAATGTGTGCATTCCTTCCACAGTGTTAATCCTTTCTTTTGATTGAGCAGTTTGTGAACAGTTTTTGCAGAAACAGTGAAAAAACATTTGGGAGCGCAATAAGTCTTTTGGTGAAAAAGGAAATATCTTCATGTAAAAACTACAAAGAAGCTTTCAGAGAAACTGCTTTGTGATGTGTGCATTCATCACACAGAGTTAAAACTTTCCTTTGATTGAGCATTTTGAAACATTGTTTTGGTTTAATCTGTGAATGGTTATGTGGGAGCTCATTGAAGCCTGTGGTGAAAAAGGAAATATCTACCAATACAAACTTGAAAGAAGCTTTCTGAGAAACTGCTTTGTGATGCATACATTCATCTCACAGAGTTAAAGCTTACTTCTGATTTAGCAGTTAGGAAACACTGTTTTTGTAGAATCTACAAAGGTATATTTGGGAGCCCTTTGAGGCCTATAGTGAAGAAGCAAATATCCTCACGGAAAAACTAGAAAGAAGCTTTCTGAGAAACTGCTTTATTATGAGTGCATTCATCTCACAGAGTTAAACCTTTCTTTTGACTGGGAGCAAATGAGGCCTATGGTGAAAAAGGAAATATCTTTAGGGAAAAAGTAGAAAGACGCTTTCTGAGAAACTGCCTTTTTATGTGTGCATTCATCTCACAGAGTTCAAACTTTCTTTTGATTGACCAGTTTGGAAACACTGTTTTTGTAGAATCTGCAAAGGGATATTTGGGAGTGCATTGAGGCCTATGGTGATAAAGGAAATAGGTTCATATAAAATCAAGAAAGAAACTTTCTGAGAAACTGCTGTGTGACATGTGCATTCCTGTCACAGAGTTAACTTTCCTTTGATTGAGGAGTTTGGAAACACTGCTTTGGTAAAATCTGTAAGGGATATTTGGGAGCACATTGAGGCCTATGGTGAAAAACAAAATATCTTTGGACACAAACTATAAAGAAACTTTCTGAGAAACTGCTTTCTGATGTGAGCTTTCATCTAACAGAGTTAAAACTTTCTTTTGATTGCACAGTTTGTGGCAGTGTTTTGGTAGAATCTGTGAATGGATATTTGGGAGTGCATTGACACTTATGGTGATATAGGAGATATGTTCACATAAAAAATAGAAAGATGCTTTATGAGAAACTGCTTTGTGAAATCTGCATTCATCTCACAGGGTTAAACCTTTTTGATTCAGCAGTTTGGAAACACTGTTTTTGAAGAATCTGCAAAGGAATATTTGGGAGCACATTGAAGACAATGATGAAAAAGGAAATATCTTCAGATAAAAACTAGAAACAAGAACATGTGGTTTTTGGTTAATGTAGAATCTGTGAAAGGATATTTGGCAGCGCATTGAGGCCTATGGTGAAATAGGATACATCTTCAGACACAAATTATACAGAAGCATTCTCAGAAACATCTTTGTGATGTGTGCATTCATCTCTCAGAGTTAAACCTTTTTTTCATTCAGCAGTTTGGAAACACTGTTTCGTAGAATCTGCAAAGGGATATTTGGGAGTGCATCGAGGCCCATGGTGAAAAAGGAAATATCTTCACATAAAAACTAGAAAGAAGCTTTCTGAGAAACTGCTTCATCATGTGTGCATTCATCTCATAGAGTTCAACCATTCCTTTGATTGAGCAGTTTGGAAACACTCTTTTTGCAGAAACTGCAAAGGGATATTTGGGAGGGCCTTGAGTCCTATGGTGAAAAAGGAAATAACTTCTGATAAAAACTAGAAAGAAAGATTCTGAGAAACTGCTTCCTGAGGTGTGCATTCGTCTCACAGAGTTAAACTTTTCTTTTGATTGAGCAGATTGGAAATACTGTTTTTGTATAATCTGCAAAGGGATATTTAGGAGCCCTTTGAGGCCTATAGTCAAAAAGGAAATATCTTCACATAAAAACTAGAAAGAAGCTTTCTGAGAAACTGCTCTGTCTTCTATCCATTCATATCACAGAGTTAAATATTTCTTTTGATTGAGCAGTTTGGAAGTACTTTTTCTCTAGATTCTGTGAAGGGATATTTGGGAGCACATTGAGGCCTATGGTAAAAAAGGAAATATCTTCTATAGAAACTAGAACGAAAGTTTCAGAGAAACTGGTTTGTGATGTGTGCATTCATCTCACAAAGTTAAATCTGCATTTGATTGAGAAGTTTGGAAACACACTGTTTGTAGAATCTGCAAAGGGATATTGTGCAGCCCTTTGTGTCTTAAGGTGAAAAAGAAAATAACCAGACATATAAATTAGAAAAAAGCTTTTTGAGAAACAGCTTTGTGACGTGTGCATTTATCTCAGAGAGTTAAACTTTCTTTTGATTGAGCAGTTTGGAAACAATGTTTTTGTAGAATCCGAAAAGGGATATTTGGGAACCCATTGATTCTTACAGTGAAAAAAGAAATATCTTCAAATATGAACTAGACAGAAGCTTTCTGAGAAACTGCTTTGTGATGTGTGCATTCATCTCACAGAGTTAAACCTTTCTTTTCATTGACAAGTCTGGAAAAACTGTTTTCTACCATCTGCAAAAGACTATTTGGGAGTGCATTGAGTTATACAGTGAAAAAGGAAATATCTTCACATAAAAGCTGGAAAGAAGCTTTCTGAGAAGTTGATTTGTGATATATGCATTCATCTCTCAGAGTTAAACCTTTTTTTTGATGGAGCAGTTTGGAAACCTGCTTTTTTGTGGAATCTGAGAAGGGATATTTGGGAGCGAATTGAGGCCTATGGTGAAAAAGGATATATCTTCAGATACAAACTAGATAGAAGCATTCTGAGAAACTGACTTGTGATGTGGGCATTCATCTCACACAGTTAAAACTTTGTTATGATTGAGCAATTTGGAACCACAGTTTTGTTGAATTTGCAAAGGGATATTTGAGAGCACCTTAAGGCCTATGGTGAGAAAGGAAATATCTGCAGATACGCACTAGAGAGAAGCTTTCTGAAAAACATCTTTGTGATGTGTGCATTCATCTCACACAGCTAAAGCTTTCTTTTGATTGAGCTGTTGGGAGAGACTGTTTTTCTAGAATCTGTGAAGGGATATTTGGGAGTGCATTGAGGGCTACGGTGAAAAAGGAAATATTTTCCCATACATACTAGACAGAAGTTTTCAGAGAAACTGCTTTGTGATTTGTGCATACATCTCACAAAGTGGAACCATTTTTTTGATGGAGCAGTTTGGAAACACGTTTTTTGTAGAATCTGTTAAGGCATATTAGGGAAGCGCATTGGGGCCTGTGGTTAATAAGGAAATATGTTCCTCTACAAACTAGAAAGAATGTTTCTGAGAAACTTCTTTGTGATGTGAGCATGCATCTCACAGAGCTAAGCCATTCTTTTGAGTGTTTTTTTAAAATCTGTGAAGGGATATTTCAGAGGGCATTGAGGCCTATGTTGAAATAGGAATATCTCCAGATTCAAACTAGACAGAAGCTTTCTGAGAAACTACTTTGTGATGTTTGCATTCATCTCACAGAGTTAATCCTTTCTTTTCATCAAGGAGTTTGGAAAGATTGTTTTTCTACAATCTGCAAAGGGATATTAGGGAGGATATTGAGGCCTATAGTCAAAAAGGAAGTATGTTCAAATGAAAACTAGAAAGAAGCTTTCTGAGAAACTGTTCTGTGTTGTGTCCATTCATTGCACAGAGTTAAACATGACTTTTGATTGAGCAGTTTGGAAACACTGTTTTTCTATAATCTGTGAAGGGATATTTGGGAGTGCATTCAGGCCTATGGTGAAAAAGAGAATATCTTCTGATACTAAATATAAACAAAGTTTCTGAGAAACTGCTTTGTTATGTGTGCATTCAACTCACACAATTACACTTTTTTGTTCTTTGAGCAGTCTGGAAAGACTGTTTTTCTAGAATCTGTGAATGGATATTTGGGAGCGCATTGAGGCCTATGGTGAAAAAGGAAATATGATAAAAACTAGAAAGAATGTTTCTGAGAAACTGCTTTGTGATGTGTGCATTCATCTCACAGAGTTAAACCGTTCCTTTGATTGAGCAGTTTGGAATCACTGTTTTTGTAGAATCTGCAAAGAGATATTTTGGAGTCCTTTGAGTCTTGTGGTAAAAAAGGAAATATCTTCACATAAAAACTACAAAGGAGCTTTAAGAGAAACTGCTTTGTGATATGTGCATTCATCTCACAGGGTTAAACCTTTCTTTTGAATGAGTAGTTTGGAAACACTGCTTTGTAGAATCTGCAAGTGGATATCTGGGAGCCCATTGATACTTATGCTGAAAAACGAAATATCTTCACATGAAAACTAGACAGAAGCTTTCTGAGAAACTGTTCTGTGATGTGTGCATTCAACTGACAGAGTTAAATCTTTCTGTTGATTGATGACTTTCTAACACTGTTTTTCTAGAATCTGTGAAGGGATATTTGGGAGTGCATTGAGGCCTACGGTGAACAAAGAAATATCTTCAGATAATAACTAGACAGAAGTTTTCTCAGATACTGCTTTGCAATGTGTGCATTCTTCTCACAGAGTTAAACCTTTCTTGTGATTGAGCAGTTTCAAACACTGTTTTAGTAGGATCTGCAAAGGGATATTTGGGAGAGCATTGAGGCTTGCAGTGAAAAAGAAAATATCTTTAGATACACACTAGGGAGAAGGTTTCTGAGAAACTGCTTTGTGATGTGTGCATTCATCTCACAGAGTTAAACCTTTCTTTTGATTGAGCAGTTTGGAAAGACTGTTTTTCTAGAATCTGCAAAGGGATATTTGAAAGGGCATTGAGGTGTATGGTGGAAAAGGATACATCTTCCAATAAAAACTAGACAGAAGTTTTCTGAGAAACTACTTTGGATGTGTGCTTGCATCTCACAGAGCTAAACCATTCTTCTGAGTTAGGAGTTTGGAACCACTGTTTTTGTAGAATATGCAAAGGGATATTGGGGAGCCCCTTGAGTCTTAAGGTGAAAAAGGAAATATCTTCTGAGACAAACTAAACAGATTATTTCTGAGAAACTGCTTTGTGATGTGTGCATTCATCTCACAGAGTTAAACCTTTGTTTTGATTGAGCAGTTGCAGACACTGCTTTTCTAGAATCTGTGGAGGGATACTTTGGAGTGCATTGAGGCCTATGGTGAACAGGGAAATATCCTCAGATAAAACCTAGAAAGAAGCATTCTGATAAACTACAATATAATGTGGTCACTCATCTCATAGAGTTAAAGCTTTCTTTTGATTGTCTAGTTTGGAAACACTGTTTTTGTAGAATCTGCGAAGGGATTTTTGGGATCACATTGAAGCCTATGGTGAAATAGGAATATCTCGAGATTCAAACGGGACAGAAACTTTCTAGAAACTGCTTTGTGACGTTTGCATTCATCTCACAGTGTTAATCCTTTCTTTTGATTGAGCAATTTGAGAAGATTGTTTTTGTACAACCTGCATAGCAATGTTAGCGAGTGTATTGAGGCCTATAGTCAAAAAGGAAATGTCTTCACATAAAAACTAGAAAGAAGCAAAGATGGCCAAATAGGAACAGCTCCTGTCTACAGCACCCAGCATGAGCAACACAGAAGATCGGTGATTTCTGCATTTCCAACTAAGGTACCTGGTTCATCTCTCTGGGGAGTGTCAGAAAGTGGGTGCAGGACAGTGGGTGCAGCACACAGAGCATGAGCTGAAGCAAGGTGAGGCATCACCTCACCTGGAAAGTTCAAGGGGTCAGGGAATTCCCTTTCCTAGTCAAAGAAAGGGGTGACAGACGGCACCTGGAAAATCGTTTCATTCCCACCCAAATATCGCACTTTTCCAATGGTCTTAGCAAATGACACACCAGGAGATTATATCCCACACATGGCTCAGAAGGTCCTATGCCCACGGAGCCTTACTCATTGCTAGCACAGTAGCCTGAGATCAAACTGCAAGGCAGCAGCAAGGCTGGGGGAGAGGCACTTGCCATTGCCGAGGCTTGAGTAGTTAAACAAAGTGGCCGGAAAGCTTGAATTGGGTGGAGCCCACTGCAGCTCAAGGAGGGCTGCCTGCCTCTGTAGTAGAGTCCACCTCTGGGGGCAGGGAATAGCCCAACAAAAGGAAGCAGAATCCTGTGCAGACTTAAAGGTCCCTGTCTGACAGCATTGAAGAGAGTAGTGGTTCTCCCAGCACACAGCTGGAGATCTTAGAACAGACAGACTGCCTCCTCAAGTGGGTCCCTGAACCCCAAGAAGCCTAACTGGGAGGCACCCCCTAGTAGGGGCAGACTGACACCTCGCACAGCTGGGTACTCCTCTGAGACAAAACTTCCAGAGGAACAATCAGGCAGCAGCATTTGCTGTTCACCAATATTCGTTGTTCTGCAGCATCTGCTGCTGATACCCAGGAATACAGGGTATGGAGTGGACCTCCAGGAAACTCCAACAGACCTGCAGCTGAGGGTCTCCACTGGCAGAAGGAAAACTAACAAACAGAAAGGACATCCACACCAAAACCCCATCTGTATGTCACCATCATCAAAGACCAAAGGTAGATAAACCACAAAGATGGGGAAAAAACAGAGCAGAAAAACTGAAAACACTAAAAATCAGAGCACCTCTCCTCCTCCAAAGGAATGCAGCTCCTCACCAACAATGGAACAAAGCTGGATGGAGAATGAATTTGATGAGTTGAGAGAAGAAGACTCCCAATGATGAAACTACTCCAAGCTAAAGGCGGAAGTTTGAACCCACGGCAAGGAAGTTAAAAACACTGAAAAAAATAGACAAAGAGCTAACTAGAATAATCAATGCAGAGAAGTCCTTAAAGGACCTGATGGAGCTGAAAGCCAAGGCATGAGAACTATGTGATGAATGCACAAGTTTCAATAGCCAATCCAATCAACTGGAAGAAAGGGTATCAGTGATGGCAGATCAAATGAATAACATGAAGTGAGAACAGAAGTTTACAGAAAAAAGAATAAAAAGAAATGAACAAAGCCTCCAAGAAATATGGGACTATGTGAAAAGTCCAAATCTACCTCTGATTGGTATACCTGAAAGTGACGGGAAGAATGGAACCAAGTTGGAAAACACTCTGCAGGATATTGTCCAGGAGGATTTCCCCAATCTAACAAGGCAGGCCAAAATTCAAATTCAGAAAATACAGAGAATGCCACAAAGATACTCCTCGAGAAGAGCAACTCCAAGACATATAATTGACAGAAACACCAAAGTTAAAATGAAGGAAAAATGTTAAGGGCAGCGAGAGAGAAAGGTTGGGTTACCCACAAAGGGAAGCCCATCAGACTAACAGCTGCTCTCTCAGCAGAAACTCTACAAGCCAGAAGAGAGTTGCGGCCAATATTCAACATTCTTAAAGAAAAGAATTTTCAAACTAGAATTTCATATCCAGCCAAACTAAGCTTCCTAAGTGAAGGAGAAATAAAATACTTTACAGACAAGCAAATGCTGAGAGATTTTGTCACCACCAGACCTGCCCTAAAAGAGCCCCTGAAGGAAGCACTAAGCATGCAAAGGAACAACTGGTACCAGCCACTGCAAAAATATGCCAAATTGTAAAGACTCTCAAGGCTAGGAAGAAACTACAACTAACGAGCAAAATGACCAGCAAACATCATAATGACAGGATCAAATTCACACATAACAATATTAACTTTAAATGTGAATGGACTAAATGCCCCAATTAAAAGACACAGACTGGCAAATTGGATAAAGAGTCAAGACCCATCAGTGTGCTGTATTCAGGAAACCCGTCTCACAGGCAGAGACACACATAGGCTCAAAATAAAGGGATGGAGGAAGATCTACCAAGCAAATGGAAAACAAAAAAAAGCAGGGGTTGCAATCCTCGTCTCTGATAAAACAGACTTTAAACCAACAAAGATCAAAAGAGACAAAGAAGGCTATTATATAGTGGTAAAGGGATCAATTCCACAAGAAGAGCTAACTATCCTAAATATATATGCACCCAATACAGGAGCACCCAGATTCATAAAAAAAGTAATTAGAGACCTAGGAAGAGACTGAGACTCCCACACAATAATGGTGGGAGACTTTTACACCCCCTTGTCAATATTAGACAGATCAATGAGACTGAAAGTTAACGAGGATATCCAGGAATTCAATTCAGCTCTGCACCAAGCGGTCCTAACAGACATCTACAGAACTCTCCACCCCAAATCAACAGAATATACGTTTGTCTCAGCACCTCACTACATTTATTCCAAAATTGACCACATAGTTGGAAGTAAAGCATTCCTCAGCAAATGTAAAAGAACAGAAATTATCACAAACTGTCTTTCAGACCACAGTGCAATCAAACTAGAACTTAGGATTAAGAAACTCACTCAAAGCCACTCAACTACATGGAAACTGAACAACCTGCTCCTGAATAAATACTGGGTACTAATGAAATGAAGGCCAAAATAAAGATGTTCTTTGAAACCAACGAGAACAAAGACACAACATACCAGAGTCTCTGGAACGCATTCAAAGCAGTGTGCAGAGGGAAATTTATAGCTCTAAATGCCCACAAGAGAAAGCAGGAAAGATCCAAAATTGACACCTTATCATCACAATTAAAAGAACTAGAGAAGCAAGAGCAAACATATTCAAAAGCTAGCAGAAGGCAAGAAATAAATAAGATCAGAGCAGAACTGAAGGAAATAGAGACACAAAAAACCCTTGAAAAAATCAGTGAATCTAGGAGCTGTTTTTTGAAAAGATCAACAAAATTGATGGACAGATAGCAAGACTAATAAAGAAGAAAAGGGAGAGGAATCAAATAAACGCAATAAAAATGATAAAGGGGATGTCACCGCCGATCCCACAGAAATACAAGCTACCATCAGAGAATACTATAAACACCTCTACGCAAATAAACTAGAAAATCTAGAAGAAATGGGTAAATTCCTCAACACATGCACCCTCCCAAGACTAAACCAGGAAGAAGTTGCCTCTCTGAATAGACCAATGACAGGATCTGAAATTGAGGCAATAATTAATAGCATACCAGCCAAAAAAAAGGCCAGGACCAGATGGATTCACAGCCAAATTCTACCAGAGGTACAAGGAGGAGTTTGTACCATTCCTTCTGAAACTATTCCAATCAATAGAAAAAGAGGGAATACTCCCTAACTCATTTTATGAAGCCAGCATCATCCTGACACCAAAGCCTAACAGAGACACACACAAAAAAGAGAAATTTAGACCAATATCTCTGATGAACATCATGCAAAAATCCTCAATAAAATACTGGCAAATCGAATCCAGCAACACATCAAAAAGCTTATCCTCCATGATCAAGTAGGCTTCATCCCTGGGTTGCAAGGCTGGTTCAACATAAGCAAATCAATAAACGTCATCCAGCTTATAAACAGAACCAAAGACAAAAATCATATTATCTCAATAGATGCAGAAAAGGCCTTTGAAAAATTCAACAACACTTCATGCTAAAAACTCTCAATAAATTAGATATTGATGGGAAGTATCTCAAAATAATAAGAGCTATCTATGACAAACCCACAGCCAGTATCATACTGAATGGGCAAAAACTGGAAGCATTCCCTTTGAAAACTGGCACAAGACAGGGATGCCCTCTCTCACCACTCCTATTCAACATAGTGTTGGAAGTTCTAGCCAGAACAATCAGGCAGGAGAAGGAAATAAAGGGTGTTCAATTAGGAAAAGAGGAAGTCAAATTGTCCCTGTTCACAGATGACATGTTTGCATATCTAGAAAACCCCATTGTCTCAGCCCAAAATCTCCTTAAGCTGATGGGCATCTTCAGCAGTCTCAGGATACAAAATCAATGTATAAAAATCACAAACATTCTTATACACCAATAACAGACAAACAGAGATCCAAATCATGAGTGAACTCCCATTCACAATTGCTTCAAAGAGAATAAAATACCTAGGAATCTAACTTACAAGGGACATGAAGGACCTCTTCAAGAAGAACTACAAACCACTGCTCAATGACATAAAAGAGGATACAAACAGATGGAAGAACATTCCATGCTCATGGTAGGAAGAATCAATATCGTGAAAATGGCTATACTGCCCTCAGTAATTTATAGACTCAATGTCATCCCCATCAAGCTACCAATGACTTTCTTCACAGAATTGGAAAAAATTACTTTAAAGTTCATATGGAACCAAAAAAGAGCCCGCATTGCCAAGTCAATCCTAAGCCAAAAGAACAAAGCTGGAGATATCACGCTACCTGACTTCAAACTATACTACCAGGCTACAGTAACCAAAACAGCATGGTACTGATATGAAAACAAAGATATAGACCAATGGAACACAACAGAGCCCTCAGAAATAATGCCACATATCTACAACCATCTGATCTTTGACAAACCTGACAAAAACAAGCAATGGGGAAATGATTCCCTATTTAATAAATGGTGCTGGGAAAACTGGCTATCCTTATGTAGAAAGCTGAAACTAGATCCCTTCCTTACACCTTATACAAAAATTAATTCAAGACGGATTAAAGACTTACTTGTTGGACCTCAAACCATAAAAGCCCTAGAAGAAAACCTAGGCAACACCACTCAAGACATAGGCATGGGCAAGGACTTCATATCTAAAACACCAAACACAATAGCAACAAAAGCCAAAATTGACAAATGGGATCTAATTAAGCTAAAGAGCTTCTGCACAGCAAAAGAAACTACCATCAGAGTGAACAGGCAACCTACAGAATGGGAGAATATATTTGCAACCTACTCATCTGACAAAGGGCTAATACCCAGAATCTACAATGAACTCAAACAAATTTACAAGAAAAAAACAAACAACCCCATCAACAAATGTGAGAAGGATATGAACAGACACTTCTCAAAAGAGGACATTTATGCAGGCAACAGGCACATCAAAAATGCTCATTATCACTGGCCATCAGAGTAATGCAAATCAAAACCACAATGAGGTACCATCTCACACCAGTTAGAATGGCAATCATTAAAAAGTCAGGAAACAAGAGCTGCTGGAGAGGATGTGGAGAAATACACACACTTTTACACTGTTGGTGGGACTGTAAAGTAGTTCAACCATTGAGGAAGTCAGTGTGGTGATTCCTCAGGGATCTAGAACTAGAAATATCATTTAACACAGCCATCACATTACTGGGTATATACCCAAGGGATTATAAATCATGCTGCTATAAAGACACATGCACACTTGTGTTTATTGTGGCACTATTCACAATAGCAAAGACTTGGAACCAACACAAATGTCCAACAATGATAGACTGGATTAAGAAAACGTGGCACATATACACCATGGAATACTATGCAGCCATAAAAAATGATGAGTTCATGTCGTTTGTAGGGACATGGATGAAGCTGGAAACCATCATTCTCAGCAAACTATCGCAAGGATGAAAAACCAAACACCGCATGATCTCTCTCATAGGTGGGAATTGAACAGTGAGAATACATGGACACTGGAAGGGGAACAGCACACAGTGGGGCCAGTTTTGGGGTCTGGGGAGGGGGGAGGTATAGCATTAGGAGATATACCTAACGTTAAATGATGAGTTAATGGGTGCAGCACACCAACATGGCACATGTATACACGTGTAACTAACCTGAACGTTTTGCACATGTACCCTAAATCTTAAAGTATAATAAAAAAAATTAAAAAAAATAAAAACTAGAAAGAAGCTTTCTGAGAAACTGCTGTGTGTTGTGTCTGTTCATCTCACAGAGTTAAACATGTCTTCTGATTGAGCAGGTTGGAAACTGTTTTTCTGTAATCTGCGAAGGGATATTTGGGTGAGCATTGAGGCTTCTGGTGAAAAGTAAATATCTTCCAATACATACTAGAAACAAAGTTTCTGAGAAACTAATTTGTGATGTGTGCATTCATCTCAGAGAGTTAAACATTCCTTTTGTTTGAGCCGTTTGGAAAGACTATTTTACTAGAATCTGCAAAGGCATATTTGGGAGCACTTTGAGGCCTATGTTGAAAAAGGAAATATCTTCTGATACAAACTAGAAAGAAAGTTTCTGAGAAACTGCTTTGTGATGTGTTCATTCATCTAACAGATTTAAATTACATTTTTTTTTATTGAGCAGTTTGGAAACACTCTTTTTGTAGAATCTGCAAAGGGATATTGGGGAGCCCTTTGAGTATTAAGATGAAAAAGGAAATACCTCACATAAAATCTAGAAAGAAGCATTCTGAGAAACTACTTTGTGATGTGTGCATTCATCTCAGAGAGTTAAACCTTTCTTTTGATTGAGCACTTTCTACCACAGTTTTTTTTTTTTTTTATAATCTGTGAAGGGATATTTGGGATCACATTGCGGCCTATGGTGAACAAGGAAATATCTTCACATACAAACTAGAAAGAAGCTTTCTCAGAAACTGCTTTGTAATGTGTGAATTCATCTCACAGAATTAAACCTTTCTTGTGATTGATCGGCTTCAAACACTGTTTTGGTAGAATCTGTGAAGGGATATTTGGGAGTGCAGTGAGGCCTATGGTGAAAAAGGATATGTCTTCAGATACAAACTAAACAGAAGCTTTCTGAGAAACTTCATTGTGATGTGTGCATTCATCACAGAGAGTTAAAACTTTCTTTTTACTGAGCAGTTTGGAAACACTGTTTTGGAAGAATATGCAAAGGGATATTTGGGAGCGCTTTGAGTCCTATGATGAAAAAGGAAATATTTTCAGATGCAAACTAAACAGAAGCTTTTTGAGAAACTTTTTTGTGATGTGTGCATTAATCTCATGGGGATAAACTATTCTTTTGATTGAGCAGTTTAGAAACACTGTTTTTCTAGAGTCTGCAAAGGGATATTTAGAGAGCATTGAGTCCTATGGCAAAAAAGGAAATAACTTCAGATACAAACTAGAAAGAATGTTTCTGAGAAACTGCTTTTTGTCTTGTGCATTCATCTCACAGAGTTAAACCATTCTTTTGATTGAGTAGGTTTGATACAGTGTTTTTGTAGAATCTACAGAGGGATATTTTGGAGCCCATTGACCCTTATGTTGGAAAGGGAAATATGTTCACATAAAAACTAGAAAGAAGCTTTCTGAGAAACTGCTTTGTGATAAGTGCATTCATCTCACAGAGTTAAAGCTTTCTTTTGATTGAGCAGCTTGGAAACACTGTTTTTATAGAATCTGCAAGGGGATATTGGGAGAGCATTGAGGCCTATGGTGAAAAAGCATATATCTTCTGATACAAACTAGACAGAAGCTTTCTGAGAAACCACTTTGTGATGTGTGCATTCATCTCATAGATTTAAACCTTTCTTTTCATTGAGCAGTTTGGAAGCACCGTTTTTGTAGAATACGTAAAGGGATATTTTGGAGTGCAGGTAGGCCTATGGTGAAAAAGGAAGGATCTTCACATAAAAACTAGAAAGAAGCTTTCTGAGAAACTGCTGTATGTTTTGTCCATTCACCTCACAGAGTTAAACATTTGCTTTGATTAAGAACGCTGGAAACACTGTTTTTGTAGACTCTATGCAGGGATATTTGGAAACGCATTGGGGACTAGGATAAAAAAGGAAACATCTTCACATACAAACAAGACAGAAGCTTTCTGAGAAACTTCTTTGTGATGTGTGTATTCATTTGAGAGAGCTAAACCTTTGTTTTGATTCAGCAGTTTGGAAACACTGCTTTTGTAGGATCTGCAAAGGTATATTTGGGAGTGCATTGAGACCTAAGATGAAAAAGGAAATTCTTCAGATTCAAACTAGAGAGAAGCTTTCTGAGAAACTACTTTGTGATTTGTGCATTCATCTCACAGAGTTAAACCTTTCTTTTGATTGAGCAGTTTGGAAACACTCTTTTTGTAGACTCTCCAAAGGGATAATGTGTACAACATTGAGTCTTAAGGTGAAAAAGGAAATATCTTCACATAAAAACTAGAAAGAAGATTTCTGAGAAACTGCTTTGTGATATGTGCATTCATCTCACAGAGTTAAACCTTTGTTTTTCTTGAGCAGTTTGGAAACACTGTTATTGTAGAATCTGCGAACTCATATTTGGGAGTGCATTGAGGCCTGTGCTGAAAAGGGATATACCTTCAGATACAAACTAGACAGAAGCTTTCTCTGAAAGTGCTTTCTGATGTGTGCATTCATATCACAGAGTTAAACCTTTCTTGTGATTGAGCAGTTTCTAAACCTGTTTTTGAAGAATCTGTGGCAGGATATTTGGGAGTGCATTGTGGCCAATGGTGAAAAGGAAATATCTTTACATAAAAACTAGAAAGAAGCTTTCTGTGAAACTGCTTTGTGATGTGTGTATTCACCTAACACAGTTAAAACTTTCTTTTCACTGAGCAGCGTGGGAACCATTTTTGTAAAGTCTGCAAAAGCTTGTTTTAGAGCCCATTTTGTCTTACGGCGAAAAGGACATATCTTCACATAAAAATTAGAAAGAAACTTTCTGAGAAACTGCCATGTGATATATGCATTCATCTCACAGAGTTAAACTTTTCCTTTGATGAAGCAGTTTGGAAACCCTGTCTCTGTGGAATCTGTGTAGGGATATTTCAGAGCCCATTGAGGCCTCTGGTGAAAAGGACATATATCTTCATACACAAACTAGACAGAAGCTTTCTGAGAAACTGCTTTGTGATGTGTCCATTCAAGTCACAGAATTAAACCTTTCTTTTCATTGAGCAGTGTGGAAATACTGTTTTCCTAGCACCTGCAAAGGGATATTTCGATGCGCATTGAGGCCTCTTGTGAAAATGGAATTATCTTCCAATACAAACTAGAAAGAAAATTTCTGAAAAACTGCTTTGTGCTGTGTGCATTCATCTCACAGAGTTAAGCATTTCTTTTGATTCAGCAGTTTGGAAACACTGTTTTCATAGAATCTGCAAAGGGATACTTGGAGATCATTGAGGCCAAAGGTGAAAAAGGAAATATCTTCTGGTACAAGCTAGAAAGATGCTTTCTGAGCAGTTTCTTTGTGATGTGTTGATTAATCTCATAGAGTTAAACCACTCTTCTGATTGAGCATTTTGGAAACACTGTTTTTGTAGTACCTGCCAAGGGATATTGGGCAGCACTTTGAGTCTTAAGGTGAAAAAGGGAATATCTTCACATAAAAACTAAAAAGAGGCATTCTGAGAAACTGCTTTGTTATGTGTGCCTTCATCTCACAGAGTTAAACCTCTCTTTTGACTTAGCAGTTTGGAAACACAGTGTTTATAGAATCTGCAAAGGGATATTTGGGAGTGCCTTGAGGCCTATGGTGAAAAAGGAAACATCTTCACATAAAAAGTAGAAAGAAGCTTTCTGACAAACTGCTTTGTGATATTTGCATTCATCTCACAGAGTTAAACTGTTGTTTTTATGGGGCAATTTGGAAGGACAGATTTTCTAGAATCTGTGATGTGATATTTGGCAGAACATTGAGGCCTATGATGAAAAGGATGTATATCTGCAGACACAAACTAGACAGAAGCATTCTGAGAAACTGCTTTTTGATGTGTGCATTCATGTCACAGAGTTAATCCTTTCTTTTGTTTTAGCAGTTTGGAAAGACCATTTTTCTAGTAACTTCAAAGGGATATTTGGGAGCGCATTGAGGCCTGTGGTGAAACAGAAATATCTTCCGATACAAACTAGACAGAAGCTTTCTGAGAAACTGCTTTGTGATGTGTGCATTCATTTGAGGGAGTTAAACCTTTGTTTTGATTGAGCAGTTTGGAAACACTGTTTTTGTCGAATCTGCAAAGGGATGTTGGGTAGTCCTTTGATTCTTAAGGGGAAAAAGGGAATATCTTCACATAAAAACTAGACAGAAGGTTTCTGAGAAACTGCTTTGTGGTGCATGCATTCATCTCACAGAGGTAAATCTTTCTTTTGATTAAGCAGTTTGGAAACACTGTTTTTGTAGAATCTGCAAAGGGATATTTGGGACCCCATTGATTCTTACGGTGAAAAAGGAAATATCTTCACAAAAAACAAGAAAGGAGCTTTCTGAGAAACTGCTTTGTGATATGTGCATTCGTCTCACAGAGTTTAATCTTTATTTTGATGGAACAATTTGGAAACACAGTTTTGGTAGAATATGCAAAGGGATATTTTTTAGAGCATCGAGGCCTATGTGAAAAAGGGTATATATCTTCAGATATAAACTACACAGAAGCATTCTGAAAAACTGGTTTGTGATATGTGCATTCATCTCTCAGCGTTAATCCTGTTTTTGATTTAGCAATTTAGAAAGTCTGTTCTTCTAGAATCTGCAAAGGGATATTTAGGAGTGCATTGAGCCTGTGTTGAAAAAGGAAATATCTTTTGAGACAAACTAGAAAGAAAGTTTCTGAGAAACTGCTTTGTGATTTGTGTATTCATCTCATGGAGTAAAAACTTTCTTTTGATTGAGCATTTTGGAAAGAAAGTTTTTCTAGAAACTGCAGAGGGATATTTGGGAGCAGACTGAGGCCTGTGGTGAAAAAGGAAATATCTTCCGATACGAACTAGACAGAAGCTTTCTGAGAAACTGCTTTGTGATGTATGCATGCACGTCACAGAGCTAAACCAGTCTTCTTATTGAGCAGTTTTGAAACACGGTTTTGTAGAATCTGCAAAGTGATATTTTGTAGCTCTATGAGTCTTAAGGTGAAAAAGAAAAATTCTTCACATAAAAACTAGAAAGAATCTTTCTGAGAAACTGCTTTGTGATATGTGCATTCATCTCTCAGAGTTAAACCTTTCTTTTGGTAGAGCCATTTGGAAAAACTGTTTTTGTAGAATCTGTGAAGAGATATTTGGCAGTGCATTGAGGCCTATTGTGAAAAGGATATATATCTTCTGATAACAACTAGACAGAAGCATTCTGAGAAACTGCAGTGAGATATTTGCATTCATAGCACAGAGTTAAACCTTTCTTTGATTGAGCAGTTTGGAAATACTGTTTTTGTAGAATCTGCAAAGGGATATTTGGGAGCACCACAAGGCCTATTGTGAAAAAGGAAATACCTTCACATAAAAACTAGAAAGAAGCTTTCTGAGAAACTTCTGTGTGTTTTGTCCATTCATCTCATAGACTTAAATATTTCTTCTGATTCAGCGGTTTCAAAACACGGTTTTTGAAGATTGTTTGAATGCAAATTTGGGAGCACATGGAGACCTACTGTTAAAAACGAAATACCTTCTGATACAAACTAGACAGAAGCTTTCTGACAAACTGCTTTGTGATGTGTGCATTCATCTTAGAGTTAACACTTTCTTTTGATTGAGCAGTTTGTAAACACTGTTTTTACAGAATCTGTGAAGGAAAACGGGAGTGCATTGAGGCCTATGGCAAAAAAGGAAAAATCTTCAAATAAAATCTAGGAAGAAAGTTTCTGAGCAACTGCTTTGTGATGTGTGCATTTATCTCACAGAGATAAACTTTTCTTTTCATTGACTAGTTTGGAAACACTGTTTTTGTAGAATCTCCAAAGGCAAATTTTGGATCCCATTGAGTCTTATGTTGAAAAAGGAAATATCTTCACATAAAGACAAGAAAGAAGCATTCTGAGAAACTGCTTTGTGATATGTGCATTCATCTCACAGAGTTAAAACTTTTTTTGATTGAGTAGTTTGGAAACACTGTTTTTGTAGAATCTGTGAAGGGATATTTTGGAGGGCTTTGAGGCCTAATGTGAAAAAGAATACATATTCAGATACAAACTAGAGAGAAGCTTTCTGAGAAACTTCTGGGTGATGTGAGCATTCATCTCACATAGTTAAACTTTTCTTTTGATTGAGCAATTTGAAGCCACTGTTTTTGTAGAATCTGCAAAGTGTTATTTGGGAGCTCATTGATTCTTAAGGTGAAAAAGGAAATATCTTCACATTAAAACTAGAAAGAAGCTTTCTGAGAAACTGCTTTGTGATGCGTGCATTCGTATAACAGAGTTAAATCATTCTTTTGATTTAGCAATTTGGAAACACTGTTTTTGTAGCATCTGGGAAGGTATATTTGGGAGCACATTGAATCCTTGGGTGAAAAAGGGAATATCTACAGAAAAAAGCTAGGCAGAAGCTTTCTGAGAAACTTCTTTTTGATGTATACATTCATCTCACAGAATTAAACGTTTATTTTCATTGAGCACTTTCTAACACTGTTTTTCTATAATCTGCAAAGGGTTACCTTAGAGGGCACTGGGGTCTATGGTGAAAAAGGAAATTTTTTCAGATACAAACTGGACAAGAGCTTTCTGAGAACCTGCAATGTGATGTGTGCATTGATCTTATAGAGTTAAAACTTACTTTTGATTTTGCGGTTTGGAAACATTGCTTTTGTAGAATCTGTGAAGTGATATTTCAGGGCACTTTGAGGCCTGTGGTGAAAAAGGAATATCTTCAGATTCAAAACAGACAGAATCATATTGAGAAACTGCTTTGTGATGTGTGCATTCATCTCACGGAGTTGATCCTTTCTATTGATTAAGCAGTTTGGAAAGACTGTTTTTCTAGAATCTGCAAAGGGATATTTGGGAGTGAATAGAGTCCTATGGTGAAAAAGGAAATAACTTCAGATACAAACTAGAAAGAAAGTTTCTAAGAAACTCCTTTGTGATGTGTGCATTTATCTCACAGTTAAACCTTTCTTTTGATGGAGCAGTTTGGAAACACTGATTTTCTAGAATCTGTGAAGGGAAAATTGGGAGTGCTTTGAGATCTATGGTGAAAAAGTAAATATCTTCCAATACAAACTTCACAGAAGCTTTCTGAAAAACTGCTTCCTGATGTGTGCATTAATCTCACAGAGTTAAACCTTTCTTTTGATTGAGCAATTTGGAACCACTGTTTTTGTTGAATCTGCAAAGGGATATTTGGGAGCCCATTGATTCTTAAGGTGAAAAAGGAAATATCTTCACATAAAATGTAGAAAAAACTTTCATAGAAACTGCTTTGTGATGTGTGCATTCATCTCACAGAGCTAAACCTTTCGTTTGATTGAGAAGTTTGGAAACAGTGTTTTTGTAGAATCCATGAAGGGATATTTGGGAGTGCACTGATGCCTGGGGTGAAAAGAGAAATATCTTCAGAGAAAAATCAGAAAGAAGCTTTATGAGAAAGTGCAATGTGATATGAGTATTGATCTCATAGTGTTAAAACTTTCTTTTGATTGTGCAGTTTGAAAACACTGTTTTTTGTAGAATCTGTGAAGGGATATTTGGGAGTGCATTGAAGCCTACAGTGAAAAAGGAATATCTTCAGATTCAAAGCAGACCGAAGCTTTCTAAGAAACTGCTTTGTGATGCGTGCATTCATCTCACAGTGTTGATCCTTTCTTTTGATTACGCCATTTGGAAAGACTGTTTTTCTAGAATCTTCTAGAAGGGGTATTTGGGAGTGCATTGAGGACTATGCTAAAATAAACTATCTTCTGATACAGAATAGACAGAAAGTTCTGAAAAACTGCTTTGTGATGTTTGCATTCATCTCACACAGTTAAAGCTTTCTTTTGATTAAGCAGTTTGGAAACTCCGTTTTTGTAGGATCTGCAAAGGGAAATTTGGGAGTGCAGTGAGGCCTATAGTCATAAAGGAAATACCTTCACTTAAAAAATGGAAAGAAGCTTTCCAAGAAACTGTTTGTGATGTGTGCATTTATCTCACTGAGTTAAACCATTCCTTCTATTGAGCAGCTTGGAAACACAGTTTTTGCAGTATCTGAGAAGAGATATATGGGAGTGCATTGAGGCCTATGATGAAAAAGGAAATATCTTGAGGCACAAACTTGACAGAAGCTATCTGAGAAACTGCTTGTGATGTGTGCATTCATCTCACAGAGTTAAACCTTTCTTTTCATTGAGCAGTTTGGAACGACTGTTTTTCTAGAGTCTGCAAAAGGATATTTGCAAGCCCTCTGAGGCCTATGGTGAAAAAGGAAATATCTTCCGATACAAACTAGATAGAAAGTTTCTGAGAAATTGCTTTGTTATGTTTGCATGCATCTCACATAGTTAAACCATAATTTTTGATTGAGCCTTTTGAGGAAACAGTTTTTGTAGAATCTGCAAAGGGATATTTGCAAAGGCTTTGAGGCCTCTGGTGAAAAATGAAATATCTTCGGATACAAACTAGACAGAAGCTTTCTGAGACACTACTTTGTGATGTATGAATTCATCTCACAGAATTTAACTTTTCTTTTGATTGAACAATTTGGAACCACTGTTTTTGTAGAACGTGGAAAGAGATATTTGGGAGCCCATTGACTCTTAAGTTGAGAAAGGAAATATCTTCACGTAAAAACAAGAAAGAAGCTTTCTGAGAAACCGTTTTGTGATGTGTGCATTCACGTCACAAAGTTAAACCTTTCTTTTGATTGAGCAATTTGGGAACACTCTTTTTGTAGAATCCGTGAAGGGATATTTTGGTCTGCCTAGAGGCCTATGGTGAAAAAGGAAATATCCTCAGATACAAACAATACAGAATTTTCTGAGAATCTGCTCTGTGACACTTGCATTCATCTCACAGAGTTACAACTTTCTTTAGAATGAGCTGTTTCTAAAACTGTTTTTTCTAGAATCTGCAAATGGCTATTTTGGAGCACTTAGAGGCCAATGGTGAGCAAGGAAATATTGTCAGATACACAATAGACAAAACTTTCTGAGAAACTGCAATATGATGTGTGCATTGGTCTCTAGAGTTAAAACGTTCTATTGATTGTGCAGTTTGAAAACACTTTTTTTGTAGAATCTGCAAAGGAATATTTAGGAACATTTTGAGGCCTATGGTGAAAAAATAATATATTCCAATCCAAACTAGAAAGAACGCTTTCTGAAAAACTGCTTTGTGAAGTGCGCATTCATCTGACAGAGTTGAAACGTTCTTTTTGTTGACCAGTTTGGAACCACTCTTTTTTCGGCTCTTCAAAGGGATATTTTGAAACCCTTTGAGTCTTACAGTGAAAAAGGAAATATGCTCAACATAAAAACTAGAAAGAAGCTTTCTGAGAAACTGCTTTGTGTTGTGTGCATTCATCTAATAGAGTTAAACCATTCCTTTGATTGAGCCACTTGTAAACACTGTTTTTGTAGAATCTGCAAAGGTATATTTGGCAGCGCATTGAGCCCTAGGGTGAAAAAGGTAATATCTACAGATAAAAGCTAGATAGAAGCTTTCTGAGAAACTGCTTTGTGATGTGTGAATTCTTCTCTCAGAATTAAACATTTCTTTTCATTGAGCACTTTCTAACACTGTTTTTCTATAATCTGTGAAGGGTTACTTTGGAGGGCTTTGGGGCATATGGTGAAAAAGGAAATATTTTCTGATACAAACTAGACAGAAGCTTTGTCAGATACTTCTTTGTGATGTGTGCATTCATCTCACAGAGTTAAACCTTTCTTGTGATTTAGCAGTTTCCAACACAGTTTTGGTAGAATCTGCAAAGGGATATTTGGGAGCACATTGAGGCCTATGGTGAAAAAGGAATTATCTTCTAATACAAACTAGACAGAAGCTTTCTGAGAAACTGCTCTGTGATGTGTGCATTCATCTCACAGAGTTACAACTTTCTTTTGATTGAGCTGTTTCTAAAAATGTTTTTTCTAGAATCTGCAAATGGATATTTTGGAGCACTTAGAGACCAATGGTGAACAAGGAAATATTGTCAGATACACAGTAGACAAAACTTTCTGAGAAAGTGCAATATGATGTGTGCATTGATCTCTACAGTTAAAACGTTCTATTGATTGTGCAGTTTCAAAAAACTTTTTTTGTAGAATATGCAAAGGAAAATTTAGGAACATTTTGAAGCCTATGGTGAAAAAAGAATAGCTTCCAATTCAAACTAGAAAGAACCCCCTTCTGAAAAACTGCTTTGTGATGTGTACATTCATCTGACAGAGTTGAAACATTCTTTTTTTGACCATTTTGGAACCACTTTTTTTGTAGATTCTTCAGAAGGATATTTTGAAACCCTTTGAGTCTTATGGTGAAAAAGGAAATATGCTCACATAAAAACTAGAAAGAAGCTTTCTGTGAAACTGCTTTGTGTTGTGTGCATTCATCTAATAGAGTTAAACCATTCCTTTGATTGAGCCACTTGTAAACACTGTTTTTGTAGAATCTGCAAAGATATATTGGCAGCGCATTGAGCCCTAGGGTGAAAAGGTAATATCTACAGATAAAAGGTAGATAGAAGCTTTCTGAGAAACTGCTTTGTGATGTGTGAATTCTTCTCACAGAATTAAACCTTTCTTTTCATTGAGCACTTTCTAACACTGTTTTTCTTTAATCTGTGAAGGGTTACTTTGGAGGGCATTGGGGCATAGAGTGAAAAAGGAAATATTTTCTGATACAAACTAGACAGAAGCTTTGTCAGATACTTCTTTGTGATGTGTGCATTCATCTCGCAGAGTTAAACCTTTCTTGTGATTTAGCAGTTTCCAACACAGTTTTGGTAGAACCTGCAATGGGATATTTGGGAGCACATTGAGGCCTATGGTGAAAAAGGAATTATCTTCTGATACAAACTAGACAGAAGCTTTCTGAGAAACTTCTCTGTGATGTGTGCATTCATCTACAGAGTTAAACTTTACTTTTGATTGAGAAATTTGGAACCACTGTTTTTGTAGAATCAGCAAAGGGATATTTCAGAGCCCATTGATTCTTATGGTGAAAAAGGAAATATCTTCACCTAAAAAGTTAAAAGAAGCTTTCTGAGAAACTGCTTTGTGACGTGTGCAATCATCTCACAGAGTTAAACCTTTCTTTTCATTGAGCACTTTCTAATACTGTTTTTCTAGAATATAGAAAGGGATATTTGGGATCGTTTTGAGGCCTATGGTGAACAAGAAGTTATCTTCTGATACAAACTAAAAAGAAGCATTCTCAGATATTGCTTTGTGATGTCTGCATTCATCTCACAGAGTTAAATGTTTCTTTTCATTGAGCACTTTCTAATACTGTTTCTCTAGAATATGGAAAGGGATATTTGGGATCACCTTGAGGCCTATGGTGAACCAGAAAATATCTTCTGATACAAACTAGTAGGAAGCATTCTCAGATACTGCTTTGTGATGTCTGCATTCATATCACAGAGTTAAACCTTTCTTGTGATTGAGTAGTTTCAAACACGGTTTTGGTAGATTCTGAGAGAGGATATTTTGGAGCGCATTGATGCCTATGGTGAAAAAAGAAATACCTTCAGATACAAACTAGATAGAAGCTTTCTGAGAAACTGCTTTGTGATGTGTACATTCATCTCACAGAGCTAAACCATTCTTTTGATTGAGCAGTTTTGAAACCCTCTTTGTGTAGAATTTTCAAAGCGATATTGGGGAGCCCTTTGAGTCTTAAGGTGAAAAAAGAAGTATCTTCATATACAAACTAGACCAAAGCTTTCTGAGAAACTGCTTTGTGATGTGTGCATTCATCTCACAGAGTTAAACCTTTGTTTTGATTGAGCAGTTTCTAACATTGTTTTTCTAGAATCTGTGAGGGGATATTTTGGAGCATTCTGAGCCCTATGGTGAACAAGGAAATATCTTCTGTTAACAACTAGAGAAAATCTTTCTGAGAAACTGCAATGTGATGTGTGCATTGATCTCTTAGAGTTAAAACTTTCTTTTGATAAAGCAGTTTGGAAAGACTGTTTTTCTAGAATCTGCAAAGGGATATTTGGGAGTGCTCAGAAGCCTATGGTAATATAAACTATCTTCCAGTACAAACTAGAAAGAAAGTTTTTGAGAAACTGCTTTGTGATATGTGCATTCATCTAACAGAGTTAAACATTTCCTCTTATTGAGCAGCTTTGAAACACTGTTTTTGTAAAATCTGCAACAGTATATTTGGGAGCACATTTAGGCCTATAGTTAAAAAGGAAATTTCTTCACTTAAAATCTAGAAAGAAGCCTGTGAGAAACTGCTGTGTGTTGTGTCTATTCATCTCACAGAGGTAAACCTTTCTTTTGATTGAGCAGTTTGGAAAGATGGTTTTTCTAGAATCTGTGAAGGGATATTTGGGAGCGCCTTGAGGCTGATGGTGAACAAGGAAATATCTTCCAATACAAACTAGAAAGAAAGTTTCTGAGAAAATTCTTTGTGATTTATGCATTCATCTGACAGATAAAAGGAAACTGTTTGGAAACACAGTTTTGCAGTAACTGCGAAGGTATATTTGGGAGAGCTTTGAGGCCTATGGTCAAAAAGGAAATAACAGCAGATACAAACTAGACAGTAGATTTCTGATACACTCCTTTGTGAGGTGTGCATTCATCTCACTGAGTTAAACCTTTGTTTTCATTAAGCAGTTTGGAAAGAATGTTTTTCTAGAATCTGCAAAGGAATATTTGGGAGCGCTTTGAGGCCTATGGTGAAAAAGGAGATATCTTCCTTTACAAACTTGAAAGAGTTTCTGAGAAACTGCTTTGTGATGTGTGCATTCATCTCACAGAGTTAAACCATTCTTTTGATTGAGCCCTTTGGAAACACAGTTTTTGTAGAATCTGCAAAGGGATATTTGGGAGTGCTTTGAGACCTACGTTGAAAAAGTAAATATCTTCTGATACAAACTAAACAGAAAATTTCTGAGAAAATGCTTTGTGATGTGTTCATTCATCTCACACAGTTAAACCTTTCTTTTGATTATGCAATTTGGGACCACTGTTTTTGTAGAATCTGTGAAGGGATATTTGGGAGCCCATTGATTCTTAATGTGAAAAAGGAAATGTCCTCACCTAAAAAGTCAAAAGAAGCTTTCTGAGAAACTGCTTTGTGATGAGTGCATTCATCTAACAGAGTTAAACCATTCTTGTGATTGAGCAGTTTCAAACACTGTTTTCGGAAATTGGTGAAGGGATATTTGGGAGCTCATTGACGCCTATGGAGAAATAGGAAATATCTTCCGATACAAACTAGACAGAAGTTTCTGAGAAATTGCTTTGTGATGTGTGCTTTCATCTCACAGAATTGAAACTTTCTTTTGGAGGAGTGGTTTGGATAAAATGTTTTTGTAGAATCTGTGAAGGGATATTTGGGGGCGCATTGAGGCTAATTGTGAAAAAGGAAATATCTTCAAAGAAAAACTAGAAAGAAGCTTTGTGAGAAGCTGCTTGGTGAGGTTTACATTCATCTCACAGAGTTAAACAATTCTTTAGAAGGAGCAGTTTGGAAACACTGTATTTGTAGTATCTATGGGGGCATATTTGAAGTGCTTTGAGGCCTATGGTGAAAAGGGAAATATCTTCAGATAAAACTAGTGGAGCACGTTGGAAACACTATTCTTGTAGAATATGCAAAGAGATACTTTGGAGCGCATTGAGGCCTATTGGGAAAAGGACATCTCTTCAGAAAACAACTAGAAAGAAGCTTTCTGAGAAACTGCTTTGTGATGTGTATATTTGTCTCACAGAGTTAAACCTTTCTTTTGATAGAACAGTTTGGAATCCCTCTTTTGCAGCACCTGTGAAGGGATATTTGGGAGGGCATTGAGTCCTATGGCAAAAAAGGAAATATCTTCAGATACAAACAAGAAAGAAGCTTTGTGAGAAACTGCTTTGGGATGTGTGCATTCATCTCACAGAGTTAAAACTTTCTTTTGATTGAACAGTTTGGAATCACTGTTTTTGTAGAATCTGCGAAGGGATATTTGGGAGAACATCGAGGCCTATGGTGTAAAAGGAAATATCTTCCAATACAAACTAGAAAGAAAGTTGCTGAGAAACTGCTTTGTGATGTCTGCATTCATCTCACAGAGTTAAACCTTCCTTTTGAAGGAGCAGTTGGGCAACAGTGTATTCATAAAATCTACACAGGCATATTTGGGAGAGCTTTGAGGCCTATGGTGAAAAAGGAAATATCTTCAGAAAGAAACTAATCAGAAAATTTTGAGATACTGTTTTGTGATGTGTGCATTCAACCCACAGAGTTAAGTTTTCTTTTTCATTGAGCAGTTTGGAAATACAGTTTTTCTAGAATCTGCAAAGGGATATTTGGGACTGCATTGAGGCCTACATTGAAAAAGGAAAAAACGTGAAAGGAAGTTTCTGAGAAACTGCTTTGGGATGTGTGCATTCATCTCACAACGTTAAAAAATTCTTTGGATTGAGCAGTTTGGAAACACAGTGTTTGTTGGATCTGCAAAGGGATATTTCAGAGCACATTGAGGCCTATGTTGAAAAAGGAAATATCTTCCAATACAAAGTAGACAGAAGCTTTCTGAGAAACTGCTTTGGGATGTGTGCATTCATCTCACAACGTTAAAAAATTCTTTGGATTGAGCAGTTTGGAAACAAAGTGTTTGTTGGATCTGCAAAGGGATATTTCAGAGCACATTGAGTCCTACGTTGAAAAAGGAAATATCTTCCAATACACAGTAGACAGAAGCTTTCTGAGAAACTGCTTTGTGATGTGTGCATTCATCTCACAGAGTTGAACCATCTTTTTGATTAAGCAGTTTTCAACCACTGTTTTTGTAGAATCTGCAAAGGGTTATTTTGGAGCCCTTTGAGTCTTATGGTGAAAAAGGAAATATTCTCACATAAAAACTAGAAAGGAGCTTTTGAAGAAACTACTTTGAGATATGTGCATTCATCTCACAGATTTAAAATTACTTTTGATTGAGCAGTTTGGAAATACCATTTTTGTAGAATCTGCAAAGGTGTATTTAGAAGCACATTGAGACGACTGGTGAAAAAGGAAGAATCTTAACATAAAAACTGGAAAGAAGATTTCATAGAAACTAATTTGTGTTGCGCCCATTCTTCTGACAGAGTTAAACATTTCTTTAGATTGAGCAGTTTTGAAAAACCGTTTTTCTACAATCTACAAAGGGATATTTGGGAGTGCATTGAGGCCTATGGTGTAAAAGGAAATATCTTTTGATGTATACTAGAAAGAAAGTTACTGAGAAATGGCTTTTTGATGTGTGCATTCATCTCACAGAGTTAAACCTAACTTTTGATTGAGCAGTTTGGAACCACTGTTTATGTAGAATCTGCAAAGGAATATTTTGGAGGCCTTTGTGTCTTATGGTGAAAAAGGATGTAACTTCTCATACAAATTACTGAGAATCTGCTTGTGATGTGTGCATTCATCTCAAAGTTAAATCTTTCTTTTGATTGAGCATTTTGGAAACACTGCTTTTGTAGAATCTGCAATGTGACATTTAGGGGCCTTTGGGAGTTAAGGTGAAAAAGGAAATATCTTCACATAAAAACTAGAAAGAATATTTCTGAGAATCTGTTTTGTGATATGCGCATTCATTTCATAAAGTTAAACCTTTCTTGTGATTGAGAAGCTTGGAAACACTGTTTTTGTAGAATCTTTGAAGGGATAATTGGCAGCACTTTGAGTCCTATGGTGAAAAAGGGAATATCCTCACATAAAAATTAGAAACAAGCTTTCTGATGAACTGCTTTGTGATATATGCATTCATCTCAAGAGTTAAACCATTCTTTGGATTGAGCAGTTCGGACACACAATGTCTGTAGAATCTGTGAGGAGATATTTGGGAACACATTGAGGCCTATGATGAAAAAGGATATATCTTCCAATACAAACTAGACATAAGTTTCCTCAGAAACTGCTTTGTGATGTGCACATTCATCTCACATAGTTGAACCATTTTTTTGAATGAACAGTTAGGAACCACTGTTTTTGTATTATCTGCAAAGGGATATTTTGGAGGGCTTTGTGTCTTCTGGTGAAAAAGGAAATATCTTCACATGAAAACTAGAAAGAAGCTTTCTGAGAAACTGCTTTGTGATATGTTCATTCATCACACAGAGGTAAAAGTTTCTTTAGATAAAGCAGTTTGGAAACACTGTTTTTGTTGAAGCTGCAAAAGGATATTTGGGAGTGCATTGAGGCCTCTGGTGAAAAAGGAAATATCTTCACACAAAAACTAGAAAGAAGTTTTCTGAGAAACTGTTTTGTGTTTTCTCCATTCATCTCAGAGAGTTAAACATTTCTTTTGATTGTGCAGTTTGGAAAAACTGTTTTTCTACAATCTGCAAAGGGATATTTGGGAGCGAATTGAGGCCTATGGTGAAAAAGGAAATATCTTCACATAGAAACTAAAAAGAAAGTATCTGAGAAACGGCTTTGGATGTGTACATTCATCTCACAGAGATAAACCTTTCTTTTCATTGAGCAGGTTGCAATCACTGTTTTTGTAGAATCTGCAAAGGAATATTTTGGAGCCCATTGAGTCTTACGGTGAAAAAAGAAATATCTTCCTATTCAAACTACAAAGAAAGTTTCTGAGAAACTCCTTGTGATGTGCATTCATCTCACAGAGTTATATCTTTCTTTTGATTGAGCAGTTTGGAAAAAACTGTTTTTGTAGAATCTGAAAAGTAATATTTTGGAGACTTTTGGGTCTTAAGGTGAAAAAAGAAATATCCTCACATAAAAACTAGAAAGAATCTTTATGAGAAACTGCTTTGCAATACATATATTCATGTCACAGAGTTAAACCTCTCTTTTGTAGGAGTAGTTTGGAAACACAGTGTTTGTGGGATCTTTGAAGGGATATTTGGGAGTACATTGAGGCCTATCATGAAAAAGGAAATATCTATCAATGCAAACTAGAAAGAAAGTTTCTGAGAAACTGTTTTGTGATGTCTGCATTCATCTGCCAGAGCTAAGCCATTCTTTTGATTGAGGGGTTTGGAAACACTCTTTTTGTAGAATCTGAAGAGGGATATCAGGGAGCCCTTTGAATCATAAGGTAAAAAGGAAATATCATCCCATAAAAAATAGAAAGAACATTTCTGAGAGACTGCCTTGTGATATGTGTATTCATCTCACAGAGATAAAACTTTCTTTGAATTAAGCAGTTTGGAAACACTGTTTTTGTAGAATCTGCAAAGAAATATTTGGGTGCCCTTTGTGTATAAAGGTGAAAAAGGAAATATTTTCACATAAAAACTAGAAAGAAGCTTCCTCAGAAACTGCTTTGTGATATGTGCCTTCATCTCACAAAGTTAAATCTTTCTTTTGATTCAGCAGTTTGGAAACACAGTTTTTGTAGAATCTGTGAATGGATATTTGGGAGTATATTGAGTACTATGGTGAAAAGGAAATATCTTCTGATACAAACTAGAAAGAAAATTTCTGAGAAACTTCTATGTGATTTGTGCATTCATCTCACAGAGTGAAACCATTCTTTTCATTGAGCAGTTAGGAAACACAGTTTTTGTAGAATATTCGAGGGGATATTTGGGAGTACATTGAGGCCTTTGTGGGAAGGGAAATATCTACTGTTACAAACTAGACAGGAGCTATATGGGAAACTGCTTTGTGATGTGTGCCTGCACCTCACAGAGCTAAACCATTTTTCTGATTGAGCAGTTTGGAAACACTGTTTTGCAGAATGTGCAAAGGGATATTGGGGAGCCATTTGAGTCTTAAAATGAAAAAGGAAATAGCTTCACATGAGAATTAGAAAAATATCTGTGAAACTGCTTTGTGATCTGTGCTTTCATGTCACAAAGGTAAACTTTTCTTTGGATTGAACAGTTTTTAAACACTGTTTTTGTAGATTACAGAAGTGGGTATTCGGGAGCCCATTGATTTTTCCAGTAAACAAAAAATCTCCACATAAAAACTAACAGGAAGCTTTCTGAGAGGCTGCTTTGTGATGTGTGCATTTATTTCACAGAGTTAAACCATGCTCTTGGTTGAGCAGTTTGGAAACTGTGTTTTTAGTATGTACAAAGGGACATATGGGAGGGCTTTGAGGCCTATTGTGAAAAAGGAAATATCTTCTGATACAAACTAGAGAGGAGCTTTATGAGAAACTGCTTTGTGATGTGTGCCTACACCTCAGAGAGCAAAACTGTTTTTTGATTGAGCAGTTTGGAAACAAATTTTTGTAGAATCTGCAAACGGATATCACTGAGCCCTTTTATGCTTATGGTGAAAAAATGATATCTTCAGTTAAAAACTAGAAAGAAGTTTCCTGAGAAACTTCTTTGTGAAGTGATCAGTTAGGAAATAATTTTTTGGAGAATCTGTACTGAGATATTTGGGAGTGCAAGAGACCTATGCTGGAAAAGGAAATAACTTCTGATAAAAACTAGAAAGATTTTTCTGAGAAACTGCTTTATGATGTATGCATTCTTCTCACAGAGTTAAACCTTTCTTTTGACTGAGCAGTTTGGAAAAACTTTTTGCAAAATCTACAAAATGATATTTTGTAGCACAGAAAAGCCTATGGTGAACAAGGAAATATCTTCAGATAAAACCTGGAAAGTAGAGTTATGAGAAACTACTTTCTGATGTGTGCATTCATCTTACAGAGTTAAATCCTTCTTTTGATGGAACAGTTTGGAAACACTGTTTTTGTCAAATCTGTGAAGGGACATTTGGGAGTGTATTGAGGCTTATGGTGGAAAAGGAAATATCTTCAAAGAACTAGACAGAAGCTTTCTGGGAAACTGCTTTGTGAAGTGTGCATTCATCTCACAGAGTTAAACCTTTCTTTTCTTTGAACAGTTTGGAAGCAATTTTTTTGTAGAGTCTGTGAAAGTTTATTTGGGAGTGCATTGAAGCCTATGGGGAAAAAGGAAATATATTCAGATAAAAACTAGAAGGAACTTTTCTGAGAAACCGCTTTGTGATGTATGCATTCATCTCACAGAGTTACTCTTTTTTTTGACTGAGCAGTTTGTCCAAACTGTTTTTGTATAATCTTCAAAGCGGTGTTAGGTAGCACAAAAAGGCCTGTGGTGAATAAGGAAATATCTTCTTATAAAAACTGAAAAGAAGTGTTAGGAGAAACTGCTTACTGATGTGTGCATTCTTCTCAGAAAGTTAAATCCTTCTTGTGATGGAACAGTTCAGAAACACTGTTTTTATAGAATGTGCGAAGTGATATTTTGAAACACATTGAGGCCTGTGGTGGAAAAGGAAATGTCTTCAGAGAAGAACTAGACAGAAGCTATCTGAGAAACTGCTTTGTGATGTGTACCTTCATCTCACAGAGTTAAACATTTCATTTAAGTGAGCAGTGTGGAAACACTATTTTAGCAAAAAAATAAAAAAGCCATATTAGGTAGCTCAAAAATGCCTATGGTGAAAAAGGAAATATCTTCAGATAAAAACTGTGAAAGAAGTGTTATGAGAAATTGCTTTCTGATATGTGCATTTAGCTCACAGTGTTAAGTCTTCCTTTGTATTAAACAGTTTGGAAACATTGTTTTTGTAGAATCTTCGAAGGGATATTTGGGAGCACAATGAGAACTATGGTGGAAAAGGAAATAACTTTAGAGAAGACCTAGACAGAAGTTTTGTGAGAAACTGATGTGTAATGTGTGCATTCATCTCACAGAGTTCAAATTTTCTTTTGATTGAGCAGTTTGGAAAAACTGGATTTGTAGAATCTGTGAAAGGATATTTGGGAACATATTGAAGATAATGTTGAAAAAGGAAATATCTTCAGATAAAAACTAGAAAGAAGCTTTTTGAGAAACTGCTTATGCATTCAACTCACAGAGTTAAAACTTTCTTTTGATTGATCAGTATGAAAACACTGTTTTTGTAGACCTGCAAAGGGATACTTGGGAGTGCACAAGGCTTACAGTGAAAAAGGATGTAACTTCAGATAAAAACTAGAAAGAAGCTTTCTGAGAAAACTCTTTGTAATGTGTGTATTCTTCTCACTGATTAAGCATTTCTTTTGAATGAGCAGTTTGGAAACACTGTTTTTGTAGAATCTGCAAAGGGTACTTGGGAGCATTCTGATGCCTATGGTGAAAAAGGAAACATCTTCAGATAAAAACTAGAAAGAAGCTTTTTGAGAAACTGCTTTGTGATGTGTGCATTCATCTCACAGAGTTAAATCTTTCTTTTGATCAATCAGATTGGAAACACTGTTTTTCTACAATCTGCAAAGGGATGTTTGGGAGCACACAAGGCCTATGGTGAAAAGGAAATAACTTCAGATTAAGACTAGAAAAAAGCTTTCTGAGAAACCGTTTTGTGATGTGTGCATTCTGCTCAAAGAGTTAAACGTTTCTTTTGATTGAGGAGTTTGGAAACACTGTATTTGTAGAATCTGCAAAGGGATATTTGGGAGAACACTGATACATATGGTGAAAAAGGAAATATCTTCAGATAAAAAACAAAGAAGCTGTTCGAGAAACTGTTTTGTGATGGATGTATTCATCTCACAGATTTCTACTTTTCTTTTTACTCAGCAGTTTGGAAACACTGTTTTTGTATAATCTGTGAAGTGATGATAAGTAACGCAAAAAGACCTATTGTGAACGAGTAAATATCTTCAGATAAAAACTGGAAAGAAGCATTATGAGAAGCTACTTTCTGATGTGTGCATTCATCTCAAACAGTTAAATCCTTCTGTTGATGGAACAGTTCAGATACACTGTTTTTATAAAATCTGCGAAGGGATATTTGGGAGCACAAAGAGGCCTCTGGTGGAAAAGGAAATATCTTTAGACAAAACTAGACAGAAGTTGTCTGAAAAACTGCTTTGTGATGTGTGCATTCATTTGACAGAATTCAATCTTTCTTTTGATTGAGCAGATTGGAAACACTGTTTTTGTAGAATCTGCAGAGGTATATTTCAGAGCACACTGGCACCTATGGTGATAAAGGAAATATTTTAGGATAAAAACAAGTAGGAAGCTTTTTGAGAAACTGCTTTGTGATGTGTGCATTGAACTCACAGAGTAAAAGGTGTTTTTTGATTGAGCAGTTTAGAAACAGTGTTTTTGTAAAGTCTGCAACGGGATTTTTGGGAACACATTGAAGCCTATGGTGATAAAATAACATCAGATAAAAACTAGAAAGGAGGTTTTTGCGAAACTGCTTTCTGATGTATGCATTCATCTCACAGAGTTAACCCATTCTTTTGACTAAGCACTTTGGAAATCTTGCTTTTGCAAAATCTGTGAAGCAATATTAGGTACCGCAACAAAGCCTATGGAGACAAAGGAAATATCTGATAAAATATAAAGATAAAAACTGAAAAGAAGCGTTATGAGGAATTACTTTCTGATGTGTGCACTCACCTCATGGAGTTAAGTCTTTCTTTTTGTGGGACAGTTTGGATACACGGTTTTTTTATAATCTGTGAAGGGATATTTTTTCTTTTTTTCATTTATTATTATTATACTTTAAGTTTTAGGGTACATGTGCACAATGTTCAGGTTAGTTACGTATGTATACATGTGCCATGCTGGTGCGCTGCACCCACTAACTCGTCATCTAGCATTAGGTATATCTGCCAATGCTATCCCTCCCCCCTCCCCCCACCCCACAACAGTACCCAGAGTGTGATATTCCCCTTCCTGTGTCCATGTGATCTCATTGTTCAGTTCCCACATATGAGTGAGAATATGCGGTGTTTGGTTTTTTGTTCTTGCGATAGTTTACTGAGAATGATGATTTCCAATTTCATCCATGTCCCTACAAAGGACATGAACTCATCATTTTTTATGGCTGTGTAGTAGTCCATGGTGTATATGTGCCACATTCTCTTAATCCAGTCTATCATTGTTGGACATTTGGGTTGGTTCCAAGTCTTTGCTATTGTGAATAATGCAGCAATAAACATACGTGTGCATGTGTCTTTATAGCAGCATGATTTATAGTCCTTTGGGTATATACCCAGTAATGGGATGGCTGGGTCAAATGGTATTTCTAGTTCTAGATCCCTGAGGAATCGCCACACTGACTTCCACAATGGTTGAACTAGTTTACAGTCCCACCAACAGTGTAAAAGTGCTCTATTTCTCCACGACACCTCCAGCACCTGTTGTTTCCTGACATTTTAATGATTGCCATTCTAACTGGTGTGAGATGGTGTCTCATTGTGGTTTTGATTTGCATTTCTCTGACGGCAAGTGATGGTGAGCATTTTTTCATGTGTTTCTTGGCTGCATAAATGTATTCTTTGAGAAGTGTCTGTTCATGTCCTTTGCCCACTTTTTGATGGGTTTTTTTTTTTCTTGCAAATTTGTTTGAGTTCATTGTAGATTCTGGATATTAGCCCTTTGTCAGATGAGTAGGTTGTGAAAATTTTCTCCCATTCTGTAGGTTGCCTGTTCACTCTGATGGTAGTTTCTTTTGCTGTGAAGAAGCTCTTTAGTTTAATTAGATCCCATTTGTCAATTTTCACTTTGGTTGCCATTGCTTCTGGTGTTTTAGACATGAAGTACTTGCCCATGCCTATGTCCTGAATGGTAATGCCTAGGTTTTCTTCTAGGGTTTTTATGGTTTTAGGTCGAAAGTTTAAGTCTTTAATCCATCTCGAATTGATTTTTGTATAAGGTATAAGGAAGGGATCCAGTTTCAGCTCTCTACATATGGCTAGCCAGTTTTCCCAGCAACATTTATTAAATAGGGAATCCTTTCCCCATTGCTTGTTTTTCTCAGGTTTGTCAAAGATCAGATAGTTGTAGATATGTGGCATTATTTCTGAGGGCTCTGTTCTGTTCCATTGATCTATATCTCTGTTTTGGTACCAGTACCATGCTGTTTTGGTTACTGTAGCCTGGTAGTACAGTTTGAAGTCAGGTAGCGTGATGCCTCCAGCTTTGTTCTTTTCGCTTAGGATTGCCTTGGCAATGCGGGCTCTTTTTTGGTTCCATCTGAACTTTAAAGTAGTTTTTTCCAATTCTGTGAAGAAAGTCATTGATAGCTTGATGGGGATGGTATTGAATCTGTAAATTACCTTGGGCAGAATGGCCATTTTCACGAGATTGATTCTTCCTACCCATGAGCATGGAATGTTCTTCCATTTGTTTGTATCCTCTTTTATTTCCTTGAGCAGTGGTTTGTAGTTCTCCTTGAAGAGGTCCTTCATGTCCCTTGTAAGTTGGATTCCTAGGTATTTTATTCTCTTTGAAGCAATTGTGAATGGGAGTTCACTCACGATTTGGCTCTCTGTTTGTCTGTTGTTGGTGTATAAGAATGCTTGTGATTTTTGTACATTGATTTTGTATCCTGAGACTTTGCTGAAGTTGCTTATCAGCTTAAGGAGATTTTGGGCTGAGATGATGGGGTTTTCTAGATATACAATCATGTCGTCTGCAAACAGGGACAATTTGACTTCCTCTTTTCCTAATTGAATACTCTTTATTTCCTTCCCCTGCTTAATTGCCCTGGCCAGAACTTCCAACACTATGTTGAATAGGAGTGGTGAGAGAGGGCATCCCTGTCTTGTGCCAGTTTTCAAAGGGAATGCTTCCAGTTTTTGCCCATTCAATATGATATTGGCTGTGGGTTTGTCATAGATAGCTCTTTTTATTTTGAAACACGTCCCATCAATACCTAATTTATTGAGAGTTTTTAGCATGAAACGTTGTTGAATTTTGTCAAAGGCGTTTTCTGCATCTATTCAGATAATCATGTGGTTTTTGTCTGTGGCTGTGTTTATATGCTGGATTACATTTGATTTGCGTATATTGAACTAGACTTGCATCCCAGGGATGAAGCCCACTTGATCATGGTGGATAAGCTTTATGATGTGCTGCTGGATTCTCTTTGCCAGTATTTTATTGAGGATTTTTGCATCAATGTTCATCAAGGATATTGGTCTAAAATTCTCTTTTTTGGTTGTGTCTCTGCCAGACTTTGGTATCAGGATGATGCTGGCCTCATAAAATGAGTTAAAGAGGGTTCCCTCTTTTTCTATTGATTGGAATAGTTTCAGAAGGAATGGTACCTGTTCCTCCTTGTACCTCTGGTAGAATTTGGCTGTGAATCCATCTGGTCCTGGACTCTTTTTGGTTGGTAAGCTATTGATTATTGCCACAATTTCAGATCCTGTTATTGGTCTATTCAGAGATTCAACTTCTTCCTGGTTTAGTCTTGGGAGAGTGTATGTGTCGAGGAATTTATCCATTTCTTCTAGATTTTCTAGTTTATTTGCGTAGAGGTGTTTGTAGTATTCTCTGATGGTAGTTTGTATTTCTGTGGGATCGGTGGTGATATCCCCTTTATCATTTTTTATTGCATCTATTTGATTCTTCTCTCTTTTTTTCTTTATTAGTCTTGCTAGCGGTCTATCAATTTTGTTGATCCTTTCAAAAAACCAGCTCCTGGATTCATTAATTTTTTGAAGGGTTTTTTGTGTCTCTATTTCCTTCAGTTCTGCTCTGATTTTAGTTATTTCTTGCCTTCTGCTAGCTTTTGAATGTGTTTGCTCTTGCTTTTCTAGTTCTTTTAATTGTGATGTTAGGGTGTCAATTTTGGATCTTTCCTGCTTCCTCTTGTGGGCATTTAGTGCTATAAATTTCCCTCTACACACTGCTTTGAATGCGTCCCAGAGATTCTGGTATGTTGTGTCTTTGTTCTCGTTGGTTTCAAAGAACATCTTTATGTCTGCCTTCTTTTCGTTATGTACCCAGTAGTCATTCAGGAGCAGGTTGTTCAGTTTCCATGTAGTTGAGCAGTTTTGAGTGAGATTCTTAATCCTGAGTTCTAGTTTGATCACACTGTGGTCTGAGAGATAGTTTGTTATAATTTCTGTTCTTTTATATTTGCTGAGGAGAGCTTTACTTCCAACTATGTGGTCAATTTTGGAATAGGTGTGGTGTGGTGCTGAAAAAATGTATATTCTGTTGATTTGGGGTGGAGAGTTCTGTAGATGTCTATGAGGTCCGCTTGGTGCAGAGCTGAGTTCAATTCCTGTGTATGCTTGTTGACTTTCTGTCTCGTTGATCTGTCTAATGTTGACAGTGGAGTGTTAAAGTCTCCCATTATTAATGTGTGGGAGTCTAAGTCTCTTTGTAGGTCACTCAGGACTTGCTTTATGAATCTGGGTGCTCCTGTATTGGGTGCATATATATTTAGGATAGTTAGCTCTTCTTTTTGAATTGATCCCTTTACCATTATGTAATAGCCTTCTTTGTCTCTTTTGATCTTTGTTGGTTTAAAGTCTGTTTTATCAGAGACTAGGATGGCAACCCCTGCCTTTTTTTGTTTTCCATTTGCTTGGTAGATCTTCCTCCATTCTTTTATTTTGAGCTTATGTGTGTCTCTGCACATGAGATGGGTTTCCTGAATACAGCACACTGATGGGTCTTGACTCTTTATCCAATTTGCCAGTCTGTGTCTTTTAATTGGAGCATTTAGTCCATTTACATTTAAAGTTAATATTGTTATGTGTGAATTTGATCCTGTCATTATGATGTTAGCTGGTTATTTTGCTCATTAGTTGATGCAGTTTCTTCCTAGTCTCGATGGTCTTTACATTTTGGCATGTTTTTGCAGCAGCTGGTACCAGTTGTTCCTTTCCATGCTTAGCGCTTCCTTCAGGAGCTCTTTTAGGGCAGGCCTGGTGGTGACACAATCTCTCAGCATTTGCTTGTCTGTAAAGGATTTTATTTCTCCTTCACTTATGAAGCTTAGTTTGGCTGGATATGAAATTCCGGGTTGAAAATTCTTTTCTTTAAGAATATTGAATGTTGGTCCCCACTCTCTTCTGGCTTGTAGAGTTTCTGCCGAGAGATCCGCCCTTAGTCTGATGGGCTTCCCTTTGTGGGTAACCCGACCTTTCTCTCTGGCTGCCCTTAACATTTTTTCCTTCATTTCAACTTTGGTGAATCTGACAATTATGTGTCTTGGAGTTGCTCTTCTCGAGGAGTGTCTTTGTGGCGTTCTCTGTATTTCCTGAATCTGAATGTTGGCCTGTCTTGCTAGATTGGGGAAATTCTCCTGGATAATATCCTGCAGAGTGTTTTCCAACTTGCTTCCATTCTCCCCATCACTTTCAGGTACACCAATCAGACGTAGATTTGGTATTTTCATATAATCCCATATTTCTTGGAGGCTTTGCTCGTTTCTTTTTATTCTTTTTTCTCTAAACTTTCCTTCTCACTTCATTTCATTCATTTCATCTTCCACTGCTGATATCCTTTCTTCCAGTTGATCACATCAGCTCCTGAGGCTTCTGCATTCTTCACGTAGTTCTCTAGCCTTGGTTTTCAGCTCCATCAGCTCCTTTAAGCACTTCTCTGTATTGGTTATTCTAGTTATACATTCTTCTAAATTTTTTTCAAAGTTTTCAACTTCTTTGCCTTTGGTTTGAATGTCCTCCCATAGCTCGGAGTAATTTGATTGTCTGAAGCCTTCTTCTCTCAGCTCGTCAAAGTCATTCTCCATCCAGCTTTGTTCCGTTGCTGGTGAGGGGCTGCGTTCCTTTGGAGGAGGAGAGGCACTCTGATTTTTAGAGTTTCCAGTTTTTCTGTTCTGTTTTTTCCCCATCTTTGTAGTTTTATCTACTTTTGGTCTTTGATGATGGTGATGTACAGATGGGTTTTTGGTGTGGATGTCCTTTCTGTTTGTTAGTTTTCCTTCTAACAGACAGGACCCTCAGCTGCAGGTCTGTTGGAGTACCCTGCAGTGTGAGGTGTCAGTGTGCCCCTGCTGGAGGGTGCCTCCCAGTTAGGCTGCTCAGGGGTCAGGGGTCAGAGACCCACTTGAGAAGGCAGTCTGCCCATTCTCAGATCTCCAGCTGCGTGCTGGGAGAACCACTGCTCTCTTCAAAGCTGACAGACAGGGACATTAAAGTCTGCAGAAGTTACTGCTGTCTTTTTGTTTGTCTGTGCCCTGTCCCCAGACGTGGAGCCTACAGAGGCTGGCAGGCCTCCTTGAGCTGTGGTGGGCTCCACCCAGTTCGAGTTTCCCAGCTGCTTTGTTTACCTAAGCAAGCCTGGGCAATGGTGGGCACCCCTCCCCCAGCCTGGCTGCCGCCTTGCTGTTTGATCTCAGACTGCTGTGCTAGCAATCAGCGAGACTCCGTGGGGTAGAACCCTCCGAGCCTGGTGGGGGATATAATCTCGTGGTGCGCCATTTTTTAAGCCTGTCGGGAAAGCGCAGTATTTGGGTGGGAGTGACCCGATTATCCCGATTTTCCAGGTGCTGTCCATCATCCCTTTCTTTGATTAGGAAATGGAACTCCCTGACCCCTTGCGCTTCCCAAGTGAGGCAATGCCTCACCCTGCTTTGGCTCGCACACGGTGCGCACACCCACTGACCTGCACCCACTGTCTGTCACTCCCTAGTGAGATGAACCGGGTACCTCAGATGGAAATGCAGAAATCACCTGTCTTCTGCGTCACTCAGGCTGGGAGCTGTAGACTGGAGCTGTTCCTATTCAGCCATCTTGGCCCACACTGTTTTTGAGAAACTGCTTTCTAATGTGTGCATTCATCTGACAGAGTTAAACCTTTCTTCTGATTGAGCAGTTTGGAAACACAGTTTTGGTAGAATCTGCAAAGTGATATTTGGGAGTGCACTGATCCTATGGTGAAAAAGGAAACAACTTTGGATAAAAACTACAAAGAAGCTTTCTGAGAAACTGCTTCAAGACGTGTGCATTCTTCACACAAGTTTAAAAGATTCTTTTCATTGAGAAGTTTGGAAAAACTGTTTTTGTTGAATCTGTAATGGGATATTTGAAAACGCACTTATGCCTATGGTGATAATGGAAATATATTCGGATAAAAACTAGAAAGAAGCTTTTAGAGAAACTGCTTTGTGATGTGTGCATTGATCTCAAAGAGTTAAACCTGTCTTTTGACTGAGTAGTTTGGCAACACTATTTCTGTGTAATCTGTGAAGCGATACTAGGTAGCACACACACAAAAAAAGCCTATGGTGAGAAAGGAATTATCTTCCAATAAAAACTGGAAAGAAGACTTATGAGAAACTGTTACTGATGTGTGTGTTCATCTCACTGAGTTAAGTCCTTCTTTTGATGGAAGAGTTTGGAAACACTGTTTTTGTACAATCTGCGAAGGAATATTTGTGAGCACATAGAAGTAGATGCCTGTGGTGGAAAAGGAAATATCTTCAGAGAAGAATGGGAGAGAAGCATTTTCAGAAAGTCCTTTGTGATGTTTGCGTTCATTTCACAGAGGTAAACCTTTCTTTTGATCCAGCAGTTTGGAAACACTGTGTTTGTAGTATCTGAAAAGTTATATTTCGGAGTGCATTAAGGCCTATCATGGAAAGGGAAATATCTTCAGAGAAGAAGTAGTCAGAAGCTTTCTGAGAAACTTCTTTGTGATGTATACATTCATCTCACAGAGTTAAAACTTTATTTTGACTGAGCAGTTTAGACACACCCTTTTTGTATAGTCTATGAAGTGATGTTTTGTAGCACGAAAAGGTCTATGGTGAACAAGGAAATAACTTCAGGTAAAAAACTGGAAAGAAGCATTGTTAGAAACTGCTTTCTGATGTCTGCGTTCATCTCAGACTTAAATGCTTCTTTTGATGGAACAGTTTGGAAACACTGTTTTTACAGAATCTATGAAGGGATTTTTGGGAGTACATTCAGGCCTATGGTGGAAAAGGAAATATCTTCAGAGAAGAACTAGTCGGAAACTATCAGAGAAACTGCTTTGTGATGTGTGCATTCATCTCACAGAGTTCAAATTTTCTTTTAATAAAGCAGTTTGGAAACACTGTTTTTGTAGAATCTGTGAAGGAATATTTGGGAACACCTTGAAGCATATGGTGAAAAAAGAAATATCTTTAGATAAAAACTCAAAGAATATTTTTGAGAAACTGCTTTGTGATGTGTGCATTCATCTCAAAGAGTTAAAGCTTTCTTTTGACTGAGCATTTTGGAAATGACTTTTTATCAAAATCTGTGAAGTGATAGTAGGCAGCACAAAAAAGCCTTTGGTATAAAAGAAAATATCTTCAGATAATAACTGGAAAGATGCGTTATGAGTAACTGCTTTCTGATGTGTCTGTTCATCTCACAGTGTTAAGTCCTTCTTTTATGGAACAGTTTGGAAACTCTGTTTTTATACGATCTACAAAGGAATATTTAGGAGTACAGAGATGCCTATGGTGGCAAAGGAAATATCTTCAGAGAAGAATTAGAAAAAGTATTTTGAGAAACTGCTTTCTGACTGCTTTCATTGATCTTATGGAGTTAAACCTTTCTTTTGATTGAGCATTTTGGAAACACTGTTTTGTAGAATCTGTAAAGGGATATTTGGGAGTGCATTGAAGCCTATGAGGAAAAAGGAAATATCTTCAGATAAAAACTAGAAAGAAGATCTTTGAGAAACTGCTTTGTGATGTCTGCATTCTTCTCACAGAGTTAAACTTTTCTCTTGACCGATCAGTTTGGAAAAACTGTTTTTGTATAATCTGCAAAGTGATGTTTGGTAGCACAAAAAGGCCTATGGTGAACAAGGAAATATCTTCAGATAAAAACTGGAAGAAGCATTATGAGAAACTACTTTCTGGTGTGTGCATTCATCTCAGAGTTAAATGCTTCTTTTAATGGAACAGTTCATAAACAGTGTTTTTATAGAATCTGCGAGGAAATATTTTTGAGCACACTGATACCTTTCTGAAAAAGGAAATGTCTTCGAATAAAAATTAGAAAGATGATTTCTGAGTAACTGCTTTGTGAAGTGTGCATTCAACTCACAGTGTTAAACATGTTTTTGATTAAGCATTTTGGAAACCGTGTGTTTGTAGGATCTGTGATGGGATATTTGGGAGCACATTGAAGCCTATGGGGGTAAAGGAAATATCTTCCAATAAAAACTACAATCTAGTACTTTGAGAAACTGCTTTGTGATGTGGGTATTCAACTCCCAGAGTTAAAATTTTCTTTTGACTGAGGAGTTTGGAAACACTGTTTTTGCAAAATCTGTGAAGTGATATTAGGTAGCGCAAAAATGTCTATGCTGTAAAAGGAAATATTTTCAGATACAAACTGGTAAGAAGTGTTGTAAGAAACTGCTTTCTGATGTGTGCTTTCATCTCTCAGAGTTAAGTCCTTCTTTTGATGGAACAGTTTGGAAACAGTTTTTGTAAATCTGTGAAGGGATATTTGGGAGTGCATTGAAGCCTATGATTAAAAAGGAAATATCTTTGGATAAAAAGTAAAAAGATGCTTTCTGAGAAACTGCTATGTGATGAATGCATTCATCTCACAGAGTTAAGCTTTTCTTTTGACTCAGCAGTTTGGAAACAGTGTTTTTGTATAATCTGCAAAGCGATGTTATGTAGTGCAAAAAGGCTTATGGTGAACAAGGAAATATCTTCTGATAAAAACTGCAAACAAGCATTATGAGAAACTTCTTTATGATGTGTGCATTCATCTCACAGAATTAAGTCCTTCTTTTGAAGGAACAGTTTGGAAACACTGTTCTTTTACAATCTGCAAAAGGATATTTTGGAGTGCATTAAGGCCTAAGGAGGAAAAGGAAATATCTTCATTGAACAACTAGACAGAAACTTTCTGAGAAACTGCTACGGGATGTGTGCTTTCATCTCAAGAGTTAAACCTTTCTTTGATTCAGCAGTTAGAAAACACTGTTTTGACAGAATCTGCGAAGGCATAGTTGGGAGAGCATTGAAGTCTATGGTGAAAAGGGAAATATCTTCAGATAAAACCTAGAAAGAAGCTCTCTGAAGTACTGCTTTGCTATGTGTGCATTCTTCTCACAGAGTTAAAAGTTTCTTTCTGAGCAGTGTGGAAACACTGTTTGTGTAGAATCTGCAAAGGAATATTTGGGAGCACACTGAGGCCTATGGTGAAAAAGGAAATATCTTTGGGATAAAAAGTACAAAGCAGATTTTTGAGAAACTGCTTTGTTATGAATGCTTTCATCTCACAGAGTTAAACTTTTCTTTTGACTGAGCTTTTTGGAAACTTTTTATAGAATCTGCAATGGGATACTTGAATGCACAATTAGTCCAATGTTGAAAAAGGAAATATCTTTGGATAAAAACTAGAAAGAATATTTTGAGAAACTGCTTTTTGATGTGTGCATTCATCTCATGGAGTTAAACCTTTCTTTTGCCCGAGCAGTTTGGGAACTCTGTTTTTGTACAATCTGAGAAGTGATATTATTCAGTGAAAAAGTGCTTATGGTGAAAAAGGAAACAACTTCAGGAAAACAGGAAAGCAGGGTTGTGAGAAACTGCTTTCTGATCTGTGTGTTCATCTCATAGTGTTAAGTCCTTCTTTGGATGGAAGTTTGGAAACACTGTTTTTGTAGTATCTTCCAAGGGATATTTCAGAGGCCATTGAGGACTATGGTGAAAAAGGAAACAACTTCAGAGAAGAACTAGACAGAAGATTTCTGACAAACTGCTTTCTGATGTGTGCATTCACCTCACACAGTTAAAACTTTCTTTTGATTGAGCAGTTTGGAAACACTGTTTTTGTAGAATCTGCAAAGTGATATTTGGGAGTGCACTGAGGCCTATGGTGAAAAAGGAAATATCTTCAGATAAAAACTAGAAAGAAGATTTTTGAGAAACTGCTTTGTGATGTGTGTATTCATTCCACAGAGCTGAACATTTCTTTTGTCAATTGAGCAGTTTGGAAACAGTCTTTTTGTAGAATCTGCAAAGGGATATTTGTGAACGCTTTGAGGCCTGTGGTGAAAAAGGAAATACCTTCACATAAAAACTAGACAGAGGCTTTCTGAGAAACTTCTTAGTGATGTGTGCATTCATCTCACAGAGTTGAACCTTCCTTTTGACTGAGGAGTTTGGAAACACTGTTCTTTCAGAATGTGTGAAGCAATATTAGGTAGCACAAAAAAAGCCCATGGTGAAGAAGGAAATTTCTTCGGATAAAAACTGGAAAGAAGCGTTTTGAGAAACTTCATTCAGAAGTGTGCATTCATCTTACATAGTTAAGTCCTTTTTTTGAGGGAACAGTTTTGAAACCCTCTTTTTGTAGAATCTGCAAGTGTTCATTTGGAGTGCTTTGAGGCCTATGGTGGAAAAGGGAATAACTTCACAGGAAAAGTAGACTGAAGCATTCTCAGAAACTTCTTTGTTGGTGGGCACTCAACTTATAGAGTTGAACCTTCCTTTTGATAGAGGAGTTTTCAAAGACTCCTTTTGTAGAATCTGCTAGTGGATATTTGGAGATTTTGGAGGTCTTCATTGTAAACGGGAATATCTTCACATAAAAACTAGTTAGAAGAATTCTCAGAAACTACTTTGTGATGTGTGCATTAAATTCGCAGAGTTGAACTTTTCTTTTGATAGAGGAGTTTTGAAACACCCTTTTTTGTAGAAACTGCAAGTATTCATTTAGTGCACCTTGAGGTCTGTGGTGGAAAAGGAAATATCTTCACATAAAAACTAGACAGAAGCATTCTCATAAACTTCTTTCTGATGTGTGCCTTCAACTTACAGAGTTGAATTTTCCTTTTGACAGAGCAGCTTTGAAACAGTCTTTTTTGGAATCTGCAAGCAGATATTTGGAGCGATTTGAGGCCTATGTTGGAAAAAAAATCTTCACATAAAAACAAGACAGAAGCATTCTCAGAAACTTCTTTGTGATGTGTGCATTCAACTCATAGAGTTGAAACTTTCTATTGATACAGCAGTTTTGAAACACTCTTTTTGTAGAATCTGCAAGTGTTCATTTGGAGCGCTTTGAGGCCTGTGGTGGAAAAGGAAATATCTTTACATAAAAACTAGACAGAAGCATTCTCAGAAACTTCTTTGTGATGTGTGCATTCAACTCACAGAGGTGAACCTTTCTTTTGATAGAGGACTATTGAAACTCTCCTTTTGTAGAATCTGCTTGTGGATATTTGGAGCTCTTTGAGGAATTCGTTGGAAATGGGATATCTTCAAATAAAAACTAGACAGAAGCATTCTCAGAAACAGCATTGTGAGGTGTGCATTCAACTCACAGATTTGAACCTTTCTTTTGATACAGCAGTTCTGAAACACACTATTCATAGGACATACAACTGGTCATTTGGAGAGCTTTGAGGCCTACGGTGGAAAATGAAATATCTTCACATAAAAACTAGACAGAAGCATTCTCAGAAACTTCCTTGTGATGTGTGCATTCAACTCACAGAGTTGAACTTTCCTTTTGACAGAGCAGTTTTGAAACAGTCTTTTTGTAGAATCTGCAAGTGGATATTTGGAGCAATATGAGGCCTATGGTGGAAAAAAAATATCTTCACATAAAAACTACACAGAAGCATTCTCAGAAACTGCTTGGTGATGTGTGCACTCAACTCACAGAGTTGAACTTTTGTTTTCATAGAGCAGTATTGAAATTCTCCTTTTGTAGAATCTGCTTGTGTAGATTTGGAGCTCTTTGAGGCTTTCGTTGGAAATGGGATATCTTCAAATAAAAACTAGACAGAAGCATTCTCAGAAACTGGTTAGTGATGTGTGCATTCAACTCACAGACTTGAACCTTTGTTTTGAAAGAGCAGTTTTGAAACACTCTTTTTTAGAATCTACAAGTTTTCATTTGGAGGGCTTGGAGGCCTTCGGTGGAAAAGGAAATATCTTCACATAAAAACTAGACAGAATCATTCTCAGAAACTTCCTTGTGATATGTGCATTCAACTCTCAGAGTTGAGACTTCCTTTTGAGTGAGCTGTTTTTAAACAGTCTTTTTGTAGAATCTGCAAGCAGATATTTGAGACCTATGGTGGAAAAAGAAATATCTTCACATAAAAAGTAGACAGAAGCATTCTCAGAAACTACTTTGTGATGTCTGCACTCTACTCACAGAGTTGAATCTTCCTTTTGATGGAGCAGTTTTGAAACACTCTTTTTGTAGGATTTGCAAGTGGATATTTGGAGGGTTTTGGGGCCTATGTTAGAAAAGCAAATATCTTCATAGAAAAATTACTCAGAAGCATTCTCAGAAACTACTTTGTGATGTTTGCATTCAACACACATAGTTGAACATTCCTTTTGATAGAGCAGTTTTCTAACAGTCTTTTTGAAGAATCTGCAAGTGGATATTTGTACCTCTTAGAGGCCTTTTTGGAAACGGGAATTTCTTCATATAAAAACTAGACAGAAGAATTCTCAGAAACTTCTTGGTAATGTGTGCATTCAACTCACAGAGTTTAACATTCCTTTCAATATAGCAGTTTTGAAACACTCTTTTTGTAGAATTTGCAAGTGAATATTGAGAGCGCTTGGAGGCCTATGTTAGGAAAGGAAATACCTTCATATAAAAACCAGACAGAATCATTCTCAAAAACTACTTTGTGAGGTTTGTGTTCAACACACAGAGTTTAAACGTTCTGTTGATAGAGCAGTTTTGAAACCCTCTTTTTGTAGTATTTGAAAGTGTGTATTTAGAGGGCTTTGAGGCCTATGGTAGAAAAGGAAATATCTTCACATAAAAACTGGACAGAAACTTTCTCAGAAACTACTTTGTGATGTTTGCATTCAACTCACAGAGTTCAACACTCTTTTTGATAGAGCAGTTTTGAATCACTCTTTTTGTAGAATCTGCATGTGGATATTTGGAATACTTTGAGGCCTTCACTGGAAACGGGAATTTCTTCACATAAAAACTAGACAGAATAATTCTCAGAAAATTTTTGTGATGTGTGCATTAAACTCAAACAGTTGAACATTGCTTTTCATAGAGCAGTTTTCAAACACTCTTTTTGTTGAATTTGCAAGTGGATATTTAGAGCGCTTTGAGGCCTATGGTAGAAAATGAAATATCTTTATATAAAAACTAGACAGAATCATTCTCAGAAACTACTTTGTGATGGTTGCGTTCAACTCACAGAGTTTAAACTTTCTTTTGACAGAGCAGTTTGGAAACACTCTGTAAAGTCTGCAAGTGGATATTTGGAGGGCTTTGAGGCCATCTTTGGAAACGGGAGTATCTTCACATAAGAAGTAGACAGAAGTATTCTCAGAAACTTCGTTGTGATGTCTGCACTCAACTGACAGAGTTGAACCTTCCTTTTGGTAGAGTAGTTTTGAAACACTCTTTTTGTAGAATTTGCAAGTGGATATTTAGAGCGCTTTGGGGCCTATGGTAGAAAAGGAAATATCTTCATAGAAAAACTGCACAGAAGCATTCTCAGAAACTAGTTTGTGATGTTTGCATTCAACTCACAGAGTTCAACATTCCTTTTGATAGAGCAGTTTTGTAACACTCTTTTTGTAGAATCTGCAAGTGGATATTTGCACCTCTTTGAGGCCTTCATTGGAAATGGTAATTTCTTCATATAAAAACTAGACAGAAGAATTCTTAGAAACTTCTTTGTGATGTGTGCATTCAACTCACAGAGTTGAAACTTCCTTTCAATAGAGCAGTTTTGAAACACACTTTTTGTATAATTTCCAAGTGAATATTTAGAGTGCTTGGAGGCCTGTGGCAGAAAAGGAAATATCTTCATAGAAAAACTAGACAGAATCATTCTCAGAAACTACTTTGTGATCTGTGCATTCAACTCACAGAGTTTAAGCTTTCTTTTGATAGAGCAGTTTTGAAACACTCTTTTTGTACAATTTGCAAGTGTGTATTTAGAGGGCTTTAAGGGCTATGGTAGAAAAGGAAATATCTTCATATAAAAACTAGACAGAAACATTCTCAGAAACTACTTTCTGATGTTTCCATTCAACTCACAGAGTTCAACATTCCTTTTGATAGAGCAGTTTTGAAACACTCTTTTTGTAGAATCTGCAAGTGGATATTTGGACTTCATTGAGGCCTTCATTGGAAACGGGAAGTTCTTCATCTAAAAACTAGACAGAAAAATTCTCAGAAACATCTTTGTGATGTGTGCATTCAGCTCACAAACTTGAATGTTCCTTTCTGCAGAGCAGTTTTGAAACACTCTTTTTGTGTGATTTCCAAGTGGATATTAGGAGCACTTTGAGGACTATGGTAGATAAGGAAATATCTTCATAGAAAAACTAGACAGAATCATTCTCAGAAACTACTTTGTGATGTGTGCATTCAACTCACAGAATTTAACCTTTCTTTTGATAGAGGAGTTTTGAAAAACTCTTTTTGTAGAATTTGCAAGTGTATATATAGAGCTCTTTGAGGCCCATGGTAGAAAAGGAAATATCTTTACATAAAAACTAAACAGAAGCATTCTCAGAAACTACTTTGTGATGTTTGCATTCAACTCACAGAGTTGAACATTCTTCTTGATAGACCAGTTTTGAAACACTCTTTTTGTAGCATCTTAAAGTGGATATTTGGACCTCATTGAGGGTTTTGTTGGAAACGGGATTCCTTCATACAAAACTTGACAGAAGAATTCTCAGGAACTTCTTTGTGATGAGTGCATTCAACTCACAGAGTTGAACCTTCCTTTCAATAGAGCAGTTTTGAAACACTCTTTGTAGAATTTAAAAGTGAATATTTAGAGCGCTTGGAGGCCTATGGTAGAAAATTAAGTATCTTCATATAAAAACTAGACAGAATCATTCTCAGAAACTACTTTGTGTTGCATGCGTTCAACTCACACATGTAACCTTTTTTTTGATAGAACAGTTTTGAAACACTCTGTTTGTAAGTCAGCAAGTGGATATTTGGAGAGCTTTGAGGCCTTATTTGGAAACATGAACATCTTCATATAAAGAGTAGACAGAAGTATTCTCAGAAACTTCTTTGTGATGTCTGCACTCAACTCACGGAGTTGAACCTTCCTTTTGATAGAGAAGTTTTGAAACAGTCTTTTTGTAGAATATGCAAGTGGGTATTTAAAGCGCATTGAGGCCTGTGGTGGAAAACAAAATATTGTCATATAAAAACTAGACAGAATAATTCTCAGAAACTACTTTGTGATGTGTGCTTTCAACTTACAGAGTTTAACCTTTCTTTTGAGAGAGAAGTTTTGAAACACTCTTTTTGTAGAATTTGCAAGTGTATATTTAGAGGGCTTTGAGGCCTATGGTAGTAAAGGAAATATCTTCACATAAAAACGAGACAGAAGCATTCTCAGAAACTACTTTGTGATGTTTGCATTCAACTCACAGAGTTCAGCATTCCTTTTGATAGAGCAGTTTTGAAAACCTCTTTTTGTAGAATATGCAAGTGGATATTTGGACCTCTTTGAGGCCTTCGTTGGAAACGGGAATTTCTTCATATAATAACTAGACAGAAGAATTCTCAGAAACATCTTTGTGATGTATGCATTCAACTCACATAGTTGAACATTCCTTTCAGTTGAGCAGTTTTGAAAAACTCTTTTTGCAGAATTTGCAAGTGGATATTTATAGCGCTTTGGGGCCTATGGTAGAAAAGTAAATACCTTCACATAAAAACTAGACAGAATCATTCTCAGAAACTACTTTGTGATGTGTGCATTCAACTCACAGAGTTTAACTTTTCTTTTGATAGAACAGTTTTGAAACACTGCTTGTATAATCTGCAAGTGGATATTTGGAGTGCTTTGAGGCCTTCTTTGGAAACGGGCATGTCTTCACATAAAAATAGACAGACGTATTCTCAGCGACTACTTTGTGATGTCTGCACTCAACTCACAGAGCTGAACCTTCCTTTTCATACAGCAGTTTTGAAACACTCTTTTTGTAGAATTTGCAAGTGGATATTTAGCGCGCTTTGGGGCCTATGGTAGAAATGGAGAAATCTTCATAGAAAAACTACACAGAAGCATTCTTAGAAACTCCTTGTGACGTTTGCATTCAACTCACAGAGGTGAATATTCGCCTTGATAGAGCAGTTTTGTAACACTCATTTTGGAGAATCTGCAAGTGGATATTTGGACCTCTATGAGGCCTCCGTTGGAAACGGGAATTTCTTCATATAAAAACTAGACAGAAGAATTCTCTGAAACTTCTTTGTGATGTGTTTATTCAACTCACAGAGTTGAACGTTCCTTTTGATAGAGCAGTTTTGAAACACCCTTTTTGTAGAATTTACAAGTGGATATTTAGAGCGCTTTGAGTCCTATGCTAGAAAAGCAAATATCTTCATATAAAAACTAGGCAGAATCATTCTCAGAAACTACTTTGTGACGTGTGCATTCAATTCACATAGTTTAAGCTTTCTTTTGATAGAGCAGTTTTGAAGCACTCTTTTTGTAGAATTTGCAAGTGTGTATTTAGAGGGCTTTGTGGACTATGGTAGAAAAGGAAATATCTTCACATAAAAACTAGACAGAAGCATTCTCAGAAACTACTTTGTGATGTGTGCATTCAACTCACAGAATTTCACCTTTCTCTTGATAGAGCAGTTTTGAAACACTCTGTTTGTAACGTCTGCAAGTGGATATTTGGAGCGCTTTGAGGCCTTCTTTGGAAACGGGAGTATCTTCACATAAATAGTAGACAGAAGTATTCTCAGAAACTTCTATGTGACGTCTGCACTCAACTCACAGAATTGAATCTTCCTTTTTGATAGAGCAGTTTTGAAACACACTTTTTGTAGAATTTGCAAAAGTATATTTAGAGAGACTTACGGCCTATGGTAGAAAAGTAAATATCTTCACATAAAAACTACACAGAAGCATTTTCAGAAACTACGTTGTGATGTTTGCATTCAACTCAGAGAGCTGAACATTCCTCTTGATAGAGCAGTTTGGAAACTCTCTTTTTGTGGAATTCGCAGGTTTATATTTAGAGCGCCTTGTGGCCTATGGTTGAAAAGGAAATATCTTCATAGAAAAACGACGTGGAATTATTCTCAGAAACTACTTTGTGATGTTTGCATTCAGCTCACAGAGTTGAACATGCCTTTTGATTCAGCAGTTTTGTAAAACTCTTTTTGTAGGATCTGCAAGTGGATATTTACACCTCTTTGAGGCCTTCGTTGGAAACGGGAATCTCTTCATATAAAAACTAGACAGAAGAATTCTCAGAAACTTCTTTGTGATGTGTGCATTCAACTCACAGAGTTGAACTTTCTTTTCGATACAGCAGTTTTGAAACACTCTTTCTGTAGAATTTCAAAGTGGATATTTAGAGTGCTTGGAGGCCTATGGTAGAAAAGGAAATATTTTCATATAAAAACTAGACAGAATCATTCTCAGAAACTGCTTTGTGATGTGTGCGTTCAAGTCAAAGAGTTTAAACTTTCTTTTGATAGAGCAGTTTTGAAACACTCTTTTTGTAGAATTGGCAAGTGTGTATTTAGAGGGCTTTGAGGCCTACGGTAGAAAGGGAAATATCTTCAAATAAAAACTAGACAGAAGGATTCTCAGTAACTACTTTGTGATCTTTGCATTCAACTAACAGAGTTGAACATTCCTCTTGATAGAGGAGTTTTGAAACTCTCTTTTTGTAGAATCTGCAAGTAGTTATTTGGACCTCTTTGAGGCCTTCGTTGGAAATGGAATATATTCATATAAAACTAGACAGAAGAATTCTCAGAAACTTCTTTGTGATGTGTGCATTCAACTCACAGAGTTGAAACTACCTTTCGATAGAGCAGTTTTGAAACACTCTTTTTGTAGAATTTCCAAGTAAATATTTAGAGTGCCTGGAGGCCTCTATTAGAAAAGGATATATCTTCATATAAAAGCTAGACAGAATCATTCTCAGAAACTACTTTGTGATTTGTGCGTTCAACTCACAGAGTTTAACTTTTGATAGAGCAGTTTTGAAACACTCTTTTTGTATAATCTGCAAGTGGTTATTTACTGGGTTTGAGTCCTATGGTAGAAAAGGAAATATCTTCACATAAAAACTAGACAGAAGCATTCTCAGAAAATACTTTGTGATGTTTGCATTCAACTCACAGAGTTCAACATTCCTTTTGATAGAGCAGTTTTGAAACACTCTTTTTGTAGAATCGGCAAGTGGTTATTTGGACCTCTTCGAGGCCTTCGTTGTAAACGGGAATTTGTTCACATAAAAACTAGACAGAGGAAGTCTCAGAAAATTTTTGTGATGTGTGCTTTCAACTCACAGAGTTGAACCTTCCTTTAGATACAGCAGTTTTGAAACACTGTTTTTGTAGAATTTCCAAGTGGATATTTAGAGCGCTTTGAAGCCACTGGTAGAAAAGGAAATATCTTCATATAAAAACTAGACAGAATCATTCTCAGGAACTACTTTGTGATGTGGGCATTAAACTCACAGAACTCAACACTTCTTTTGATAGAGCAGTTTTGAAACATTCTTTTTGTAGAATCTGCAAGTGGATAGTTGGACCTCTTTGAGGCCTTCGTTGGAAACCCGAATTTATTCACACAAAAACTGGTTAGAAGAATTCTCAGAAAATTGTTGGATTGGGTGCATTCAAATCACAGGGTTGAACCTTGCTTTTGATAGAGCAGTTTTGAAACACCCCTTTTGGGAATTTTGCAAGTGTCTATTTAGAGGGCTTTGAGGCCTACGGTAGAAAAGGAAATATCTTCACATAAAAACTAGACAGAAGGATTCTCAGAAACTTCTTTATGATGTTTGCATTCAACTCACAGAGTTCAACATTCCTTACGATAGAGCACTTTTGAAACACTCTTTTTGTAGAATCTGCAAGTGGATATTTGGACCTCTTTGAGGCCTTCCTGGGAAACGGGAATTTCTTCACATAAAAACTAGACAGAAGAATTCTCAGATTCTTTTTGTGATATCTGCATTCAACTCACTGAGTTGAACCTTCCTTTTGTCAGAGCACTTTTTAAACACCCTTTTTGTAGGATTTCCATGTGGATATTTAGAGTGCTTTGAAGCCTATGGTACAAAAGGAAATATCTTAATATAAAAACAAGACAGACTCAATCTCAGAACCTACTTTGAGATGTGTGCGTTCAACTCACAGACTTTAACCTTTCTTTTGATAGAGCAGTTTTGAAACACTCCGTTTGTAATGTCTGCAAGTGGATATTTGGAGCACTTTGAGGCCTTCTTTGTAAGGGCAAACATCTTCGCATAAAAAATAGAAAGATGTATTCTCAAAAACTTCTTTGTCATGTCTGCACTTCACTCACAGAGTTGAAACTTCCTTTTGATAGAGCAGTTTTGAAACAATCTTTTTGTAGTATTTGCAAGTGGATATTTAAAGCGCTTTGAGGCCTATGGTAGAAAAGGAAATATCTTCATACAAAAACTAGACAGAATCATTCTCAGAAACTACTTTGTGATGTGTGGATTCAACTCACAGAGTTTACCCTTTCTTTTGATAGAGCAGTTTTGAAACTCTCTTTTTGTAGAATTTGCAAGTGTGTATTTGGCAGGCTTTGAGGCCTATGGTAGAAAAGGAAGTATCTTCACATAAAAGCTAGACAGAAGCATTCTCAGAAACTACTTTGTGATGTTTGCATTCAACTCACAGAGTTCAACATTCCTTTTGATAGAGTAGTGTTGAAACACTCCTTTTGTACAATCAGCAAGTGGATATTTGGACGTCTTTGAGGCCTTCATTGGAAACGGGATTTCTTCATATAAAACTAGACAGAAGAATTCTCACAAACTTCTTTGTGATGTGTCTATTCAACTCAGAGAGTTGAATCTTCCTTTTTACTGAGCACTTTTGAAACACTCTTTCTGTAGAATTTCCAAGTTGATATTTAAAGGGCTTTGAAGCCTATGGCACAAAAGGAAATATCTTAATATAAAAGCTGGAAAGAATCATTCTCAGAAACTACTTTGTGATGTGGGCGTTCAATTCAGAGTTTAACCTTTCTTTTGATAGAACACTTTTGAAACGCTCTGTTTGTAAAGTCTGCAAGTGGATATTTGGAGCGCTTTGAGGACTTCTTTGGAAGAGGGAATAGATTCACATAAAAGCTAGACAGAAGTATTCTCAGAAACTCCTTTGTGATGTCTGCACTCCACTCACAGAGTTGAAACTTCCTTTTGATGGAGCAGTTTTGAAACACTCTTTTTGTAGAATTGGCAAATGGATATTTAAAGAGCTTTGAGGCCTATGGTAGAAAAGGAAATATCTTCATATAAAAATTACACAGAATCATTCTCAGAAACTACTTCATGATGTGTGCATTCAACTCATTGAGTTTAAACTTTCTTTTGATAGAGCAGTTTTGAAACACTCTGTTTGAAAAGCCTGCAGGTGGATATTTGAAGTGCTTTGAGGCCTTCTTTGGAAACGTTAATATATTCACATAAAAATTGGACAGAAGTATTCTCAGAAACTTCTTTGTGATGTCTTCACTCAACTCACAGAGTTTAACTTTCCTTTTGATAGACCAGTTTTGAAACAATCTTTTTGTAGGATTTACAGGTGTGTATTTAGAGGGCTTTGTGGGCAATGGTAGAAAAGGAAATATCTTCACATAAAAACTAGACAGAACCATTCTCAGAAACTTCTTTGTGATGTGTGTATTCAACTCTGTGAGTTCCTTTTGATAGAGCAGCTTTGAAACACTCTTTTTGTAGAATTTCCAAGTTAATATTGAGAGCGCTTGGAGGCCTATATTAGAAAAGGAGATATCTTCATATAAAAACTAGACAGAATCATTCTCAGAAAATAATTTGTGATGTGTGCATTCAACTCACAGAGTTTAACCTTTCTCTTGATTGTGATGTGTGAGTTCAACTCACAGAGCTTAAACTTTCTTTTGATAGAGCACTTTTGAAACACTCTGTTTGTAAAGTCTTCAAGTGGATATTTGGAGCACTTTGAGGCCTTCTTTGGAAATGGGAATATCTTCACGTAAAAAGTAGACAGAAGTATTCTCCGAAACTTCTTTGTGAAGTCTGCACTCCACTCACAGACTTGAAACTTGATTTTGATAGAGCAGTTTTGAAACACTCTTTTTGTAGAATTTGAAGTGGATTTGTAAAGCACTTTGAGGCATATGGTAGAAAAGGAAATATCTTCATATAAAAAGACAGAATCATTCTCAGAAACTACTTTGTGATGTGTGCGTTCAACTCACACAGTTTAACCTTTCTATTCATAGAGCAGTTTTGAAACACTCTGTTTTTAAAGTCTGCAAGTGGATATTTGGACGTCTTTGAGGCCTTCGTTGGAAACGGGATTTCTTCATTTAAAACTAGACAGAAGAATTCTGAGAAACTTCTTTGTGATGTGTGCATTCAACTCACAGAGGTGAAGCTTCCCTTAAATAGAGCAGTTTTGAATCACTCTTTTGCTTGTATTTCCAAGTGCATATTTAGAGTGCTTTGAAGCCTATAGAAGAAAACAAAATATCCTTCATATAAAAACTAGACAGAATCATTCTCAGAAACTACTTTGTGATGTGTGCATTCAACTCACAGAGTTTAACCTTTCTTTTGATAGAGCAGTTTTGAAACACTCTGTTTGTAAAGCCTGCAAGTGGATATTTGGAGTGCTTTGAGGCCTTCGTTGGAAACGGGCTTTCTTCATATAAAACTAGACAGAAGAATTCTCAGAAACTTCTTTGTGATGTGTGTATTCATCTCACAGATTTGAACCTTCCCTTCGACAGAGCACTTTTGAAACACTCTTTTTGTAGAATTTCCAAGTTAATATTGAGATCGCTTGGAGGCCTATATTAGAAAAGCAAATATCTTCACATAAAAACTAGACAGAATCATTCTCAGGAACTACTTTGTGATGTGTGCGTTCAACTCACAGAGTTTAACCTTTCTTTTGATAAAGCAGTTTTGAAACACTCTGTTTGTAAAGCCTGCAAGTGGATATTTGGAGTGCTTTGAGGCCTTCTTTGGAAACGATAATATCTTCACATAAGAAGTAGACAGAAGTATTCTCAGAAACTTCTTTGTGATGTCTGCACTCAACTCACAGAGCGGAACTTTCCTTTTGATAGAGCAGTTTTGAAACACACTTTTTGTAGAATTTGCAAGTGTGTATTTGGCGGGCTTTGAGGCCTATGGTAGAAAAGGAAGTATCTTCCATAAAAGCTGGACAGAAGCATTTTCAGAAACTACCTTGTGATGTTTGCATTCAACTCACAGAGTTGAACATTTCTCTTGATAGAGCAGTTTTGAAACACTCTTTTTGTTGAATCTGTAAGTGGATATTTGCACCTTTTCGAGGCCTTCTTGGGAAACAGGGTTTCTTCATATAAAACTAGACAGAAGAATTCTCAGAAAATTCTTTGTGATGTGCGCATTCAAGTCACCGAGTTGAACCTTCCTTTTCACAGAGCAGTTTTGAAACACTCTTTTTGAAGAAGTTCCAAGTGGATATTTAGAGCGCTTTGAAGCCTTTGGTACAAAAGGAAATATCTTAATACAAAAACAAGACAGAGTCCATCTCAGAAACTCCTTTGTGATGTGTGCATTCAACTCACAGAGTTTAACCTTTCTTTTGATAGAGCACTTTTGAAGCACTCTATTTTTAAGTCTGCAAGTTGATATTTGGAGCGCTTTGAGGCCTTCTTTGGAAACGGGAATACCTTCACATGAAAAGTAGACAGAAGGATTCTCAGAAACTTCTTTGTGATGTCTGCACTCAACTCACAGAGTTGAAACTTCCTTTTGATCAAGCAGTTTTGACACACTCTTTTTGTAAAATTTGCAAGTAGATATTTATACCGCTTTGAGGCCTATGGTAGAAAAGGAAATATCTTCACAAAAGCTAGACAGAAGTATTCTCAGAAACTACTTTGTGATGTTTCCATTCAACTCACAGAGTTGAACATTCCCCTTGATAGAGCAGTTTTGAAACACTCTTTCTGTAGAATCTGCATGTGGATATTTGGACCTCTTTGAGGCCTTCGTTGGAAATGGGATTTCTTAATATAAAACTAGACACAAGAATTCTCAGAAACTTCTTTGTGATGTGTGTATTCAACTCACAGAGGTGAACCTTCCTTTTGATAGAGCAGTTTTGAAACCCTCTTTTTGTTGAATTTCCAAGTTAATTTTGAGAGCACTTGGAGGTCTATATTAGAAAAGGAAATATCTTAATAAAAAACTAGACAGAATCATTCTCAGAAACTACTTTGAGATGTGTGCATTCAACTCACAGACTTTAACCTTTCTTTTGATACAGCAGTTTTGAAACACTCCGTTTGTAATGTCTGCAAGTGTATATTTGGAGCGTTTGAGGCCTTATTTTAAGGGGAAAAATCTTCACATAAAAAGTAGACAGAAGTATTCTCAAAAACTTCTTTGTCATGTCTGCACTCCACTCACAGAATTGAACCTTCCTCTTGATAGAGCGGTTTTGAAACACTCTTTTTGTAGTATTTGCAAGTGGATATTTAAAGCGCTTTGAGGCCTATGGTAGAAAAGGAAATATCTTCATATAAAAATTGACAAAATCATTCTCAGAAACTACTTTGTGAAGTATGTGTTCAATTCACGGAGTTTACCCTTTATTTTGATAGAGCAGTTTTGAAACACTCTTTTTGTAGAATTTCCAAGTTGATATTTAGAGCGCTTTGAAGCCTACGGTACAAAAGCGAATATCTTAATATAAAAGCTGGACAGAATCATTCTCAGAAACTACTTTGTGATGTGGGCATTAGACTCACAGAATTTAACCTTTCTCTTGATAGAGCACTTTTGAAACGCTCTGTTTGTAAAGTCTGCAAGTGGATATTTGGAGCGCTTTGAGGACTTCTTTGGAAGAGGGAATAGCTTCACATGAAAAGTAGACAGAAGTATTCTCAGAAACTCCTTTGTGATGTCTGCAACCCACTCACATATTTGAAACTTCCTTTTGATAGAGCAGTTTTGAAGCACTCTTTTTGTAGAATTGGCAAATGGATATTTAAAGAGCTTTGAGACCTATGGTAGAAAAGGAAATATCTTCACATAAAAACTACACAGAATCATTCTCAGAAACTACTTTGTGATGTGTGCATTCAACTCATTGAGTTTAACCTTTCTTTTGATAGAGCGGTTTTGAAACACTCTGTTTGTAAAGCCTGCAAGTGGATATTTGGAGTGCTTTGAGGGCTTCTTTGGAAACGTTAATATCTTCACATAAAAATTGGACAGAAGTATTCTCAGAAACTTCTTTGTGATGTCTTCACTCAACTTACAGAGTTTAACTTTCCTTTTGATAGACCAGTTTTGAAACAATCCTTTTGTAGGATTTACAGGTGTGTATTTAGAGGGCTTTGAGGGCAACAGTAGAAAAGGAAATATCTTCACATAAAAACTAGACAGAACCATTCTCAGAAACTTCTTTGTGATGTTTGCATTCAACTCAGAGAGTTCAACATTCCTTTTGATAGAGCACTTTTGAAACACTCTTTTTGTAGAATCTGCAAGTGGATGTTTGGACCTCTTTGAGGCCTTCCTTGGAAACGGGAATTTCTTTACATAAAAACTAGACAGAGGAATTCTCAGATTCTTTTTGTGATGTCTGCATTCAACTCACTGAGTTGAACCTCCCTTTTGACAGAGCAGTTTTGAAACACTCTTTTTGTAAAATTTCCAAGTTAATATTGAGAGCGATTGGAGGCCTATAGTAGAAAAGGAAATATCTTAATACAAAAAACAGACAGAATCCTTCAGAGAAACTGCTTTGTGATGTGTGCATTCAACTCACAGAGTTTAACCTTCCTTTGATAGAGCAGTTTTGAAACAGTCTGTTTGTAAAGTCTGAAGGTGGAAGTTTGGAGTGCTTTGAGGCCTTTTTTGTAAACGGGAACATCTTCACATAAAAGCTAGACAGAAGTATTCTCAGAAACTTCTTTGTGATGTCTGCACTCCACTCACAGAGTTGAAACTTCCTTTTCATAGAGCAGTTTTGAAACCCTCTTTTGGTAGAATTTGCAAGTGGATATTTAAAGCGCTTTGAGGCCTATGGTAGAAAAGGAAATATCTTCATATAAAAACTAGACAGAATCATTCTCAGAAACTACTTTGTGATGTGTTCATTAAACTCACCGAATTTAACCTTTCTTTTGATAGAGCAGTTTTGAAACTCTCTTTTTGTAGAATTTGCAAGTGTGTATTTCTGGGCTTTGAGGCCTATGGTAGAAAAGGACGTATCTTCACATAAAAGCTAGACAGAAGCGTGCTTAGAAACTACTTTGTAATGTTAGCATTCAACTCACAGAGTTGAACATTCCTCTTCATAGAGCAGTTTCAAAACACTCTTTTTGTAGAATCTGCAAGTGGATATTTGGAACTCTTTGAGGCCTTCGTTGGAAACTGGTTTTCTTCATATAAAACTAGACAGAATTCTCAGAATCTTCTTTGTGATGTGTGTATTCAACTCTGTGAGTTCCTTTCGATAGAGCAGCTTTGAAACACTCTTTTTGTAGAATTTCCAAGTTAATATTGAGAGCGCTTGGAGGCCTATATTAGAAAAGGAAATATCTTCATATGAAAACTAGACAGAATCATTCTCAGAAAATAATTTGTGATGTGTGCATTCAACTCACAGAGTTTAACTTTTCTTTTGATTGTTATGTGTGAGTTCAACTCACAGAGTTTAACCTTTCTTTTGATAGAACACTTTTGAAACACTCTGTTTGTAAAGTCTTCAAGTGGATATTTGGAGCACTTTGAGGCCTTCTTTGGAAATGGGAATATCTTCACATAAAAAGCAGACAGAAGTATTCTCAGAAACTTCTTTGTGAAGTCTCCACTCCACTCACAGACTTGAAACTTGCTTTTGATAGAGCAGTTTTGAAACACTCTTTTTGTAGAATATGCAAGTGGATTTTTAAAGCACATTAAGGCATATGGTAGAAAAGGAAATAACTTCATATAAAAACTAGACAGAATCATTCTCAGAAACTATTTTGTGATGTGTGCATTCAACTCACACAATTTAACCTTTCTATTCATAGAGCGGTTTTGAAACACTCTGTTTGTAAAGTCTGCACGTGGATATTTGGACCTCTTTGTGGCCCTCGTTGGAAACGGGATTTCTTCATTTAAAACTAGACAGAATTCTGAGAAACTTCTTTGTGATGTGTGCATTCAACTCACAGAGGTGAAGCTTCCTTTCAATAGAGCAGTTTTGAAACACACTTTTGCTAGAATTTCCAAGTTCATATTTAGAGTGCTTTGAAGCCTATGGAAGAAAACGAAATTTCTTTCATATAAAAACTAGACAGAATCATTCTCAGAAACCACCTTGTGATGTGTGCGTTCAACTCACAGAGTTTAACCTTTCGTTTGATAGAGCAGTTTTGAAACACTCTTTTTGTAGAATCTGCAGGTGGATATTTCGACCTCTTTGAGGCCTTCGTTGGAAACGGGATATCTTCATATAAAATTAGACAGAAGAATTCTCAGAAACTTCTCTGTGATGTGTGTATTCAACCCACAAATTTGAACATTCCTTTCAATAGAGCAGTTTTGAAACCCACTTTCTGTAGAACTTCCAAGTTAATATTGAGATCGCTTGGAGGCCTATATTAGAAAAGCAAATACCTTCACATAAAAACTAGACAGAATCATTCTCAGAAACTACTTTGTGATGTTTGCGTTCAACTCACAGAGTTTAACCTTTCTTTTGATAGAGCAGTTTTGAAACACTCTGTTTGTAAAGCCTGCAAGTGGATATTTGGAGTGCTTTGAGGCCTTCTTTGGAAACGTTAATATCTTCACATAAGAAGTAGACAGAAGTATTCTCAGAAACTTCTTTGTGATGTCTGCACTCAACTCACAGAGCGGAACTTTCCTTTTGGTAGAGCCGTTTTGAAACACACTTTCTGTAGAATTTGCAAGTGTGTATTTAGAGGGCTTTGAGGTCAAATGTAGAAAAGGAAATATCTTCATAAAAACTAGACAGAAGCATTCTCAGAAACTCCTTTGTGATGTTTGCATTCCACTCGCAGAATTCAACATTACTTTTGATAGAGCATTTTGAAACAGTCTTTTTGTAGAATCTGCAAGTGGATAATTTGACCTCTTTGAGGCCTTCATTGGAAACGGGAATTTCTTCACGTAAAAACTAGACAGAAGAATTCTCAGATTCTTTTTGTGATGTGTGCATTCAACTCACCGAGTTGAACCATCCTTTTGACAGAGCAGTTTTGAAACACTCTTTCTGAAGAATTTCCAAGTGGATATTTAGAGCACTTTGAAGCCTATGGTACAAAAGAAATATCTTAATATAAAAACAAGGCAAAAATCAATCTCAGAAACTACTTTGTGATGTGTGGGTTCAACTCACGGAGTTTAACCTTTCTTTTCATAGAGCACTTTTGAAACACTCTGTTTGTAAAGTCTGCAAGTGGATATTTCGAGCGCTTAGAGGCCTTCTTTGTAAATGGGAATATCTTCACATAAAAAGAAGACAGAAGTATTCTCAGAAAGTTCTTTGTGATGTCTGCACTCAACTCACAGAGTTGAACTTTCCTTTTGATAGAGCTGTTTTGAAACACTCCTTTTGTAGAATTTCAAAGTGCATATTTAGAGTGCTTTGAAGCCTACAGTAGAAAACGAAATAATTTCGTATAAAAACTAGACAGAATCATTCTCAGAAACCACTTTGTGATGTGTGTATTAAACTCACAGAGTTTAACCTTTCTTTTGATAGAGCAGTTTTGAAACACTCTCTCTGTAGAATTTCCAAGTGCATATTTAGAGCATTTTGAAGCCTATAGTAGAAAAGGAAATATCTTCATATAGAAACTAGACAGAATCATTCTCAGAAACTTCTTTTTGATGTGTGCATTCAACTCACAGAGTTTTACCTTTCTTTTGATAGAGCAGTTTTGAAACAGTCTTTTTGTAGAATTTGCAAGTGTGTATTTGGCGGGCTTTGAGGCCTATGGTAGAAAAGGAAGTATCTTCACATAAAAGCTAGACAGAAGCGTTCTCAGAAACTACCTTGTGATGTTTGCCTTCAACTCACAGAGTTGAACATTTCTCTTGATAGAGCAGTTTTGAAGCACTCTTTGTTGAACCTGTAAGTGGATATTTGGACCTTTTTGAAGCCCTCGTTGGAAACTGGATTTCTTCATATACAACTAGACAGAAGAATTCTCAGAAACTTCTTTGTGATGTGTGTATTCATCTCACAGTGTTGAACCTTCCTTTTGATAGAGAAGTTTTGAAACACTGTTTTTAGACTTTCCAAGTGGAAATTTAAAGCGCTTTGGGGCCTATGGTAGAAAAGGAAATATCTTCAAATAAAACCAGACAGAATCATTCTCAGAAACTACTTTGTGATGTGTGAGTTCAACTCACAGATTTTAACATTTCTTTTGATAGAGCTGTTTTGAAACTCTCTTTTTGTAGAATTTGCAAGCGTATATTTAAAGCGCTTTGAGGCCTATGGTAGAAAGGGAAATATCTTCATATAAAAACTAGACAGATTCATTCTCAGAAACTACTTTGTGATGTGTGTGTTCAACTCACACAGTTTAACCTTTCTTTTGATAGAGCGGTTTTGAAACACTCTGTTTGTAAATTCTGCAAGTGGATATTTGGACCTCTTTGGGCCATTCTTTGGAAAAGGGATTTCTTCATATAAAACTAGACAGAAGAATTCTGGAAACTGCTTTGTGATGTGTACATTCAACTCACAGAGTTGAACATTCCTTTCGATAGAGCAGTTTTGAAACAATTTTTGTAGAATTTCCAAGTGCATATTTAGAGTGCTTTAAAGCCTATGGTAGAAAATGAAATATCTTCATATAAAACTGGACAGAATTATTCTCAGAAACCACTTTGTGATGTGTGCATTCAACTCACAGAGTTTAACCTTTCTTTTGATAGTGCAGATTTGAAACACTATTTTGTAGAATTTACAAGTGTGTATTTTGAGGGCTTTTTAGCTTATGGTAGAAAAGGAAATATCTTCACATAGAAACTAGACAGAAGCATTCTCAGAAACTGCTTTGTGATGTTTGCATTCAACTCACAGAGATCAACATTCTTGTGATAGAACAGATTTGAAACACTCTATTTGTTATATCTGCAAGTGGATATTTTGACCTCCTTCAGGCCTTCGTTGGAAACGGGATTTCTTCATATAAAACTAGACAGAAGAATTCTCAGAAACTTCTTTGTGATGTGTGCATTCAACTCACTGAGTTGAACCTTCCTGTCGACAGAGAAGTTTTGAAACACTCTTTTTTTAGATTTTCCAGGTGGATATTTGAAGCACTTTGAGGCCTCAGGTAGAAAAGGAAATATCTTCATATAAAAAGCATACAGAATCATTCTCAGAAAATACTTTGTGACGTGTGTGTTCAACACATGGGGTTTAACCTTTCTTTTGATAGAGCAGTTTTCAAACACTAGTTTTGTAGAATTTGCAAGTGAGTATTTGGAGGGCTTTGAGGCCTATGGTATAAAAGGAAATATCTTCACATAAAAGCTAGACAGAAGCATTCTCAGAAAGTGATCTGTGATGTTTGCATTCAACTCACAGAGTTGAACATTCCTTTTGATAGAGCAGTTTTTAAACACTCTTTTTGTAGGATATGCATGTGGATATTTGGACCTCTTTGAGACCTTCTTTGGAAACGGGATTTCTTCATATAAAACTAGACAGAAGAATTCTCAGAAACTTTTTGTGTTGAGTGTATTAAACTCACAGAGTTGAAACTTCCTTTTGATAGAGCAGTTTTGAAACCCTCTTTTTGTAGAATTTCCAAGTTATTATTGAGAGCGCTTGGAGGCCTATATTAGAAAAGGAAATATCTTAATATAAAAAGTAGACAGAATCATTCTCAGAAACTAATTCATGATGTGTGCGTTCAACTCACAGAGTTTAACCTTTCTTTTGGTAGAGCAGTTTTGAAGCACTCTGTTTGTAAAGTCTACAAGTGGATATTTGGAGCACTTTGAGGCCTTCTTTGTAAATGGGAATATCCTCACTAAAAAGTAGAGAGAAGTATTCTCAGAAACTTCTTTGTGATATCTGCACTCCACTCACAGAGTTGAAACTTGCTTTTGATAGAGCAGTTTTGAAACACTCTGTTTGTAGAATTCGCAAGTGGATATCTAAAGTGCTTTGTGGCCTATGGTAGAAAAGGAAATATCTTCATATAAAAACTAGACAGAATCATTCTCAGAAACTTCTTTGTGATGTGTTCATTCAACTCACCGAGTTTAACCTTTCTTTTGATAGAGCAATTTTGAAACTATCTTTTTGTAGAATTTCCAAGTGTGTATTTGGAGGGCTTTGAGGCCTATGGTAGGAAAAAAACTATCTTCATATGAAAGCTAGACAGAAGCATTCTCAGAAACTAATATGTGATGGTTGTTTTCAACTCACAGAATTAAACATTCCTCTTGATAGAGCAGTTTTGAAACACTCTTCTTTAGAATATGCAAGTGGATATTTGGACCTCTTTGAGGTCTTCGATGGAAACGGGATTTCTTCATATAAAACTAGACAGAATTCCCAGAAACTTCTTTGTGATGTGTGTATTCAACTCACAGAGTTGAGCTTTCCTTTTGATACAGCAGTTTTGAAACACTCTGTTTGTAAAATCTGCAACTGGATATTTGGACCTCTTTGAGGAATTCGTTGGAAACGGGATTTCTACATATAAAACTAGACAGAAGAGTTCTGAGAAACTTCTTTGTGATGTGTGCATTCAACTCACAGAGATGAACCTTCCTTTCGATAGACCTGTTTTGAAACACTCTTTTTTTAGAATTTCCAAGTGGATAATAAAAGCACTTTGAGGCCAACGGTAGCAAAGGAAATATCTTCATATGAAAAACAGATAGAATCATTCTCAGAAACTACTTTGTGATGTGTGCATTCAACTCACAGTGTTTAACCTTTCTTTTAATCCAGCAGATTTGAAACACTCTTTTTGTAAAATTTGCTAGAGGATATTTAAAGCGCTTTGAGCCCTACAGTAGAGGAGGAAATATCTTCATATAAAAACTAGACAGATTCATTCTCAGAAACCACTTTGTGATCTGTGCATTCAACTCACAGAGTTTAACCTTTTTTTCATAGAGCAGCTTTGAAAGACTCTTTTTGAAGAATTGGCAAGTGGATATTTAAAGCACTTTGAGGCCAGTTATAGAAAACGAAAATCTTCATATAAAAACCAGACAGATTCATTCTCAGAAAACAGTTTGCAATGTGTGCGTTCAACTCACAGAGTTTAATCTTTCTTTTGGTAGAGCAGTTTTGAAGCACTCTGTTTGTAAAGTCTGCAAGTGGATATATGGATCTCTTTGAGACATTCGTTGGAAACGGGATTTCTTCATATAAAACTAGACAGAAGAATTCTAAGAAACTTCTTTGTGATGTGTGCATTGAACTCACAGAGTTAAACCATCATTTTGAAAGGGCAGTTTTGAAACACTCTTTTTGTAGAATTTCCAAGTGGATAACTAAAGCGCTTTGAGGCCTATGGTAGAAAAGGAAATATCTTCGTATAAAAAACAGATAGAATCGTTCTCAGAAACTACTTTGTAATGTGTGTGCTCAACTCACAGAGTTTAACCTTTCTTTTTATCCAGCAGATTTGAAACACTCTTTTTGTAGAGTTTGCAATTGTATATTTAAAGCGCTTTGAGGCCAATGGTAGAAGAGGAAGTATCTTCATATAAAAACTAGACAGATTCATTCTCAGAAATCAGTTTGTGAAGTGTGCGTTCAGCTCACAGTTTTAACCCTTCTTTTGATAGAGCAGTTTTGGAACACTCTGTTTGTAAAGTCTGCAAGTGGATATTTGGACCACTGTGAGGCATTCGTTGGAAACGGGATTTCTTCATATAAAACTAGACAGAAGAATTCTCAGAAACTTCTTTGTGATATGTGCATTCAACTCACAGAGTTAAACCCTCCTTTTGATAGAGCAGTTTTGAAACACTCTTTTTGTAGAATGTCAATGTGTATATTTAGAGTGCTTTGAAGCCTAAGGTGGAAAACGAAATGCCTTCATATGAAAACAAGACAGAATCATTCTCAGAAACCACGTTGTGATGTGTGCATTCAACTCACAGAGTTTAACCTTTCTTTTGATAGAGCAGTTTAGAAACATGCTTTTTATGGAATTTGGAAGCGTGTATTTAGAGGGCTTTCGGGCCTATGTTAGAAAAGGAAATATCATCACATAGAAACTGACAGAAACATTCTCAGAAACTACTTTTTGATGTTTGCATTCAACTCACAGAGTTCAACATTCCTTTTGATAGAGCAGTTTTAAAACTCTCTTTTTGTAGAATCTGCAAGTGGATATTTGGACCTCCTTGAGGCATTCGTTGGAAACGGTGTTTCTTCATATAATACTAGACAGAAGAATTCTTAGAAACTTCTTTGTGATGTGTGTTTTCAACTCACAGAGTTGAAGCTTCCTTTCGATAGAGTAGTTTTGGAACACTCTTTTTTTAGAATTTCCAAGTGGATCTTTAAAGCGATTTGAGGCTTATGGTAGAAAAGGAAATATCTTCATATAAAAACCAGACAGAATCATTCTCAGAAACTTTTTTGTGATGTGTGCGTTCAACTCACCGATTTTAACATTTCTTTTGATCCAGCATATTTGAAACACTGTTTTTGTTGAATTTGCAAGTGGATATTTAAAGCGCTTTGAGGCCTATGGTAGAAGAGGATATATCTTAATATAAAAACTAGACAGATTCATTCTCAGAAACCAGTTTGTGATGTGTGCGTTCAACTCACGAAGCTTAACTTTTCTTTTGATAGAGCAGTTTTGAAACTCTCTGTTTGTAAAGTCTGCAAGTGGATATTTGGCCTCTTTGAGGCATTTGTTGGAAAAGGGTTTTCTTCATATAAAACTGGACAGAATTCTGAGAAACTTTTTTGTGTTGTGTGCATTCATCTCACAGAGTTGAGCCTTCCTTTCAATAGAGCAGTTTTGAAACAATCTTTTTTTAGAATTTCCAAGTGGATAATTAAAGTGCTGTGAGGTTTATGGTATAAAAGAAAATATCTTCGTATAAAAACTGGAGAGAATCAGTCTCAGAAACTACTTTGTGATGTCTGCATTCAACACACAGAGTTTAAATTTCTTTTGATAGAGCAGTTTTGAAACACTCTTTTTGTAGAATTTGCAACCGTGTATTTAGAGGGCTTTGGGACCTATGGTAGAAAAGGAAATATCTTCACATAAAAACTAAACAGAAGCATTCTCAGAAACTACTTTGTGATGTTTGCATTCAACTCGCAGAGTGCAACATTCCGTTTGATAGAGCAGTTTTGAAACACTCTTTTTGTAGACTCTGCAAGTGGATATTTGGACCTCCTTGAGGCCTTCGTTGGAAATGGGAATTCTTCATATAAAACTAGACAGAAGAATTCTCAGAAACTTCTTTGTGATATGTGTATTCAACTCACGTAGTTGAACTTTTCTTTCAATAGAACAGTTTTGAAACACTCTTTTTTTAGAATTTCCAAGTGGATATTTAAAGCGCTTTGAGGCTTATGGTAGAAAATGAAATATCTTCACATAAAAATCAGACAGAATCATTCTCAGAAACTACTTTGTGATGTGTGCGTTCAACTCACAGAGTTTAACCTTTCTTTTGATAGGACAGTTTTGAAACACTCGGTTTGTAAAGTCTGCAAGTGGATAATTGTACCTCTTTGAGTCATTCGTTGGAAATGGGATTTCTTCTTATAAAACAAGACAGAAAAATTCTGAGAAACTTCCTTGTGATGTGTGCATTCAACTCACAGAGATGAGCCTTCGTTTTGATGGAGCAGTTTTGAAACACTCTTTTTCTAGAATTTTCAATTGCATATTTAGAGTGCTTTGAAGCCTATGGTAGTAAATGAAATATCTTCATATAAAAACTAGAGAGAATCATTCTCAGAAACCACGTTGTGATATCTGCGTTCAACTCACAGAGTTTAATATTTCTTTTGACAGAGCAGTTTTGCAACACTCTTTTCGTAGAATTTGGAAGCATGTATTTAGAGGGCTTTGGGGCCTCGGTTAAAAAGGAAATATCATCACATGTAAACTAGACAGAAGCATTCTCAGAAACTACTTTGTGATGTTTGCATTCAACTCAGAGTTCAACATTCCTTTTGATAGAGCAGTTTTCAACCACTGTTTTTGTAGAATCTGCAAGTGGATATTAGGACCTCCTTGAAGCCTTCGTTGGAAACAGAATTTCTTCACATAAAACTAGACAGAAGAATTCTGAGAAACTTCTTTGTGATGTGTGTACTCAACTCACAGAGTTGAAATTCCTTTTCATTAGAGCAGTTTTGAAACACTCTTTTTTTAGAATTTCCAAGTGGAACTTTAAAGTGCTTTGAGGATTATGGTAGAAAAGGAAATATCTTCACATAAAAACCGGACAGAATCATTCTCAGAAACTACTTTGTGACATGTGTGTTCAACTCACAGAGTTTAACCTTTATTTTTATCCAGCAGATTTGAAACACTCTTTTTGTAGAATTTGTAAGTGGATATTTAAAGCGCATTGAGGCTTAAGGTAGAAGAGGAAATATCTTCATATAAAAACTAGACAGATTCATTCTCAGAAACCAGTTTGTGATGTAGGCATTCAACTCACAGAGTTTAAGCTTTTTTTTCATAGAGCAGTTTTGAAAGACTCTTTTTGTATAATTTACAAGTGGATATTTAAAGCGCTTTGAGGCCTATTATGGAAAAGGAAAATCTTCATATAAAAACTAGACAGATTCATTCTCAGAAACCAGTTTCTGATGTGTGCATTCAACTTACAGAGTTTACCCTTTCTTTTGATAAAGCAGTTTTGAAACACTCTGTTTGCAAAGTCTGCAAGTGGATATATGGACCTCTTTGAGACATTCATTGGAAACGGGATTTCTTCATATAAAACTAGACAGAAAAATTCTCAGAAACTTATTTGTGATGTGTGTATTCAACTCACAGATTTGGATCTTCCTTTCAATAGAGCAGTTTTGAAACACTCTTTTTTTAGAATTTCCAAGTGGATATTTAAAGCACTTTGAGGCCTATGGTAGAAAAGGAAATATCTTCTTATAAAAACCAGAGAGAAACATTCTCAGAAACTACTTTGTGATGTGTACGTTCAACTCACAGAGTTTAACGTTTCTTTTGATAGAGCACTTTTCAAACACTCTTTTTGTAGAATTTGCAACTGTGTATTTAGAGGGCTTTGGGGCCTATGGTAGGAAAGGAAATATCTTCACATATAAACTAGACAGACGCATTCTCAGAAACCACTTTGTGATGTTTGTATTCAACTCACAGATCTCAACATTCCGTTTGATAGAGCAGTTTTGAAACACTCTTCTTGTAGAATCTGCAAGTGGATATTTTGATCTCCTTGAGGCCTTTGTTGGAAATGGGATTTCTTCATATAAAACTAGACAGAAGAATTCTCAGAAACTTCTTTGTGATGTGTGTATTCAACTCAAAGGGTTGAACCTTTCTTTCTATAGAACAGTTTTGAAACACTCTTTTTTTAGAATTTCCAAATGGATATTTAAAGTGCTTTGAGGCTTACGGTAGAAAATGAAATATCTTCACATAAAAACCTGACAGAATCATTCTCAGAAACAGCTTTGTGATGTGTGCATTCAACTCACAGAGTTTAACTTTCTTTACATCCAGCAGATTTGAAACACTCGTTTTCTAGAATTTGCAAGTGGATATTTAAAGCACTTTGAGGCCTATGGTAGAAGAGGAAATATCTTCATATAAAAACTAGACAAAATCATTCTCAGAAACCAGTTTGTGATGTGTGGGTTCAACTCACAGAGTTTAACCTTTTTTTTTTGATAGAGCAGTTTTGAAACACTCTTTTTGTATAATTTGCAAGTGGATATTTAAAGCGCTTTGAGTCCTATTGTGGAAAAGGAAAATCTTCTTATAAAAACTAGACAGATTCATTCTCAGAAACCAGTTTGTGATGGGTGAATTCAACTCACAGAGTTTAACCTTTCCTTTGATAGAGCAGATTTGAAAACCTCCGCTTCTAAAGTCTGCAAGTGGATATTTGGACCTCTTTGAGACATTCGTTGGAAACGGGATTTCTTCATATAAAACTAAACAGAAGAATTCAAAGAAACTTCTTTATGATGTGGGCATTCAACTCACAGAGTTGAAACTTCCTTTCAATAGAGCAGTTTTGAAACAATCATTTTTTTAGAATTTCCAAGTGGATAATTAAAGCACTTTTAGACCTATAGTAGAAAAGAAAATATCTTCGTATAAAAAACAGATAGAATCCTTCTCAGAAATTACTTTGTGATGTGTGCGTTCAAATCACAGTGTTTAACATTTCTTTTTATCCAGCTGATTTGAAACACTCTTTATGTAGAATTCAGAAGTGGATATTTAAAGCACATTGAGGCCTATGGTAGAAGAGGATATATCTTCATATCAAAACTAGACAGATTCATTCTCAGAAACCAGTTTGTGATGTGTGCATTCAACTAACAGAGTTTAACCTTGTTTTTCATAGGGCAGTTTTGAAAGACTCTTTCTGAAGGGTTTGCAAGTGGTTATTTAAAGCGCTTTGAGGCCAAATGTAGAAAAGGAAAATCTTCATATAAAAACCAGACATATTCATTCTCAGAAACCAGTTTGTGATGTGTGCGTTCAACCCACAGAGTTTAACCTTTCTTTTGATAGAGCAGTTTTGAAACACTCTGTTTGTAAAGTCTGCAAGTGGATATTTGGACCTCTTTGAGGCATTCGTTCAAAGCGGGATTTCTTCATATAAAACTTGACAGAAGTATTCTAAGAAACTTCTTTATGATGTTTGCATTCAACTCACAGTGTTGAAACTTCCTTTCGATAGAGCAGTTTTGAAACCCTCTTTTTTTTTGAATTTCCAAGTGGGTAATTAAAGCGCTTTGAGGTCTATTATGGAAAAGAAAATCTTCATATAAAAACTAGACAGATTCATTCTCATAAACCAGTTTGTGTTGTGTGCGTTCAACTCAAGGAGTTAACCCTTTCTTTTGATAGAGAAGTTTTGAAACCCTCTGTTTGTAAAGTCTGCAAGTGGATATTTGGACCTCTTTGAGACATTCGTTGGAAACGGGAATTTTACATATAAAACTTGACAGAAAAATTCTCAGAAACTACTTTTTGATGTGTGTATTCAACTTACAGATTTGAACCTTCCTTTCGATAGAGAAGTTTTGAAACACTAATTTTTAGAATTTCCAATTGGATAATTAAAGCACTTTGAGGCCTATCGTAGAAAAGGAAATATCTTCGTATAAAAAACAGATTGAATGATTCTCAGCAACTACATTGTAATGTGTGCGTTCAACTCACAGACTTTAAACTTTCTTTTTATCCAGTAGATTTCAAACACTCTTTTGGTAGGATTGGCAAGTGGATATTTAAAGCACTTTGAAGCCAATGGTAGAAGAGGAAATATCTTATTATATCCTCTTCTATGATAATAATATCATAGATATAATATGATAATAATATCATATTATAACTGGAAACATTCATTCTCAGAAACCAGTTTGTGATGTGTGCGTTCAACTCACAGAGTTTAACCTTTCTTTTGATAGAGCAGTTTTGAAACACTCTGTTTGCAAAGTCTGTAAGTGGATATTTGGACCACTTTGAGACATTCATTGGAAACAGGATTTCTTCCTATAAAACTAGACAGAAGAATTCTCAGAAACTTCTTTGTGACGTGTGTGTTCAACACACAGATTTCAAACTTCCTTTCGATAGAGCAGTTTTGAAACACTCTTTTTTAAAAATTTCCAAGTGCATATGTAGAGTGCTTTGAAGCCTATGGTAGAAAGCGAAATATCTTCATATAAAAACAAGACAGAATCTTCCTCAGAAACAACGTTGTGAAGTGTGCGTTCAGTTCACACAGTTTAATATTTCTTTTGATAGAGCAGTTTTGAAACACTCTGTATGTAAGTCTGCAAGTGGATATTTCACTTCTTTTAGGCATTTGTTGGAAAAGGAATTTTTTTTCATATTGAACTAGACAGAAGAATTATGAGAGAATTCTTTGTGATGTGTGCACTCAACTCTCAGAGTTGAACCTTACTTTTGATAGAGCAGTTTTGAAACAGTCTTTTTGAAGAATTTCCAATTGCATATTTAGAATGATTTGAAGCCAATGGTAGAAAACGAAATATCTTCATATAAAAACTAGACAGACTCATTCTCAGAAACCACTTTGCGATGTGTGCGTTCAACTCAGAGTATAACCTTTCTTTTGATAGAGCAGATTTGAAACACTCTGTTTGTAAAGTCTGCAAGTGGATATTTGGACCTGTTTGAGACATTCGTTGGAAAAGTGATTTCTCATATAAAACTATACAGAAGAATTCTGAGAAACTTCTTTGGGATGAGTGCAATCAACTCACTGAGTTAAACCCTCCTTTTGATAGAGCAGTTTTGAAACACTCTTTTTGTAGAATTTCCAGGTGCATATTTGGAGTGCTTTGAAGCCGACGGTAGAAAACCAAACATATTCATATAAGAACTAGACAGACTCATTCTTAGGAACCACTTTCTGATGTGTGCATTCAACTCACAGTGTGTAACATTTCTTTTGAGAGAGCAGGTTTGAAATAGTCTTTTTGTGAAATTTGCAAGTGGATATTTAAAGGGCTTTGGTGCCTAAGGCAGAAAACGAAATATCTTCATATAACAACTACACAGAAGCACTCTCAGAAACTACTTTGTGGTGGGTGAGTTCAACTCACACAGTTGAACCTTTCTTTTGATAGGGCAGTTTTGAAACACTCTGTTTGTAAAGTCTGCAGGTGGATATTTGGACGTCTTTGAGGCATTCGTTGGAAAAGGGATTTCTACGTATACAACTAGAGAAAAGAATTTTGAGAAACTTCTTTGTGATGTGTGTATTCAACTCACAGAGTTGAACCTTCCTTTTGATAGAGCAGTTTCAAAACACTCTTTTTGTAGAATTTCCAAGTGCATATTTAGAGTGCTTGGAAGCCTGTTGTAGAAAACGAAATATCTTCATATAAAAACTAGACAAAATCCTTCTCAGAAACAACTTTGTGATGTGTGCATTCAACTCACAGAGTTTAAATTTCCTTTGATAGAGCAGTTTTGTAACACCCTTTTTGTAGAATTTCCAAGCGAGTATTTAGATAGCTGTGGGGCCTATTGTAGAAAAGGAAATACCTTCACATAAAAACTAGACAGTAACATTTTCAGAAACTACATTGTGATGTTTGCATCCAACTCACAGAGTTCAACATTCCTTTTGATAGAGCAGTTTGGAAACAATATTTTTGTAGAATCCTCAAGTGGATATTTGGCCCTCCTTGAGACCTTCTTTGGAAATGGATTTCTTCATAGAAAATTAGACAGAATAATTCTCAGAAGCTTCTTTGTGATGTGTGTCTTCAACTCACAGGGTTGAATATTCCTTTAGAGAGAGAAGTTTTGAGAACCTCTTTTTTTAGAATTTCCAAGTGGATATTCGAAGTGCTTTGAGGCCTGAGGTAGAAAAGGAAATATCTTCACATAAAAACTAGACAGATTCATTCTCAGAAACTACTTTGTGATGTGTGTGTTCAACTCACAGAGTTTAACCTTTCTTTTGATAGAGCAGATTTGAAACACTCTGTTTGTAAAGTCTGCAAGTGGATATTTGGACCTCTTTGAGGCATTCTTTGGAAAGGGGATTTCTCATATAAAACTAGACAGAATAATTCTGAGAAACTTCTTTGTGATGTGTGCATTCAACTCACAGAGTTAAACCCTTCTTTTGCTAGAGCAGTTTTGAAACACCCTTTTTGTAGAATTTCCAAGTGCATATTAGGAGTGCTTTGAAGCCGATGGTAGAAAACGAAGTATCTTCATATAAAAACTAGAGAGAATCATTCCCAGACACAACTTTGTAATGTTTGCAATCAATTCACAGAGTTTAACGTTTCTTTTGATAGAGCAGATTTGAAACACTGTTTTTGTAATATTTGCAAGTGGATATTTAAAAGTCTTTGGGACCCATGGTAGAAAAGGAAATATCTTCATATAACAACTAGACAGAAGCATTCTCTGAAACTTCTTTGTGATGGGGGCGTTCAACTCACAGACTTTAACCTTTCTTTTGATAGAGCAGTTTTGAAACACTTTCTTTCCAAGGTCTGCAAGTGGATATTTGGACCTCTTTGAGTCATTCAATGGAAAGGGGATTTCTTCATATAAAACTAGACAGAAGAATTCTGAGTAACTTCTTTGTGATGTGTGCATTCAACTCACAGAGTTGAACTTTCCTTATTTTAGAACAGTTTTGAAATACTCTTTTTTTAGAATTTCCAAGTGCATATTTAGAGTGCTTTGAAGCATATGGTAGAAAACGAAATATTTTCATATAAACACAGGACAGAATCATTCTGAGAAACTACTTTGTGATGGGTGCGTTCAACTCACAGAGTTTAACTTTTCTTTTGATAGAGCAGTTTTGAAACACTCTGTTTGTAAAGTCTGCAAGTGGATATTTGGACCTCTTTGAGGCATTCGTTGGAAACGGGATTTGTTCATATAACACTACACAGAAGAATTCTGAGAAACTTCTTTGTGATGTGTGTATTCAACTCTGAGTTGAACCTTCCTTTCGATAGAGCAGTTTTGAAACACACTTTTGCACAATTGCCAAGTGCATATATAGAGTGCTTTGAAGCCTAAGGTAGAAAACGAAATATCTTCATGTAAAAACTAGACAGAATCATTCTCAAAAACAACTTTGTGATGTATGCGTTCAACTCACAGACTTTAAAGTTTCTTTTAATAGAGCAGTTTTGAAGCACTATTGTTGTAAAATTTGCAAGCGTCTATTTAGAGGGCTTTAGGGCATATTTTTTAAAAAAGGAAATATCTTCACCCAAAACTAGACAGTAGCATTCTCAGAAAGTACATTGTGATGTTTGCATTCAACTCACAGAGTTCAAAATTCCTTTTGATAGGGCAGTTTTGAAACAAGATTTTTGTAGAACCTTCAAGTGGATATTTGGACCTCCTTGAGGCCTACGTTGGAAACGGGATTTCTTCATAGAAAACTAGACAGAAGAATTCTCAGAAGCTTCTTTGTGATGTGTGTATTCAACTCACAGAGATGAACATTCCTTTCGATAGAGGAGTTTTGAAATCCTCTTTTTTAGAATTTCCAAGTGGATAATTGAAGCGCTTTGAGACCTGGGGTAGAAAAGAAAATATCTTCGTATAAAAAACCGACAGAATGATTCTCAGAAACTACTTTCTGATGTGTGCTTCAAATCACAGAGCTCAAATTATCTTTTGATAGACCAGTTTTGAAACATACTATTTGTAGAATTTCCAAGTGTATATTTAAAGCAATTGGAGGCCTATGGTGGAAAAGGAAATACCTTCACATAAAAACTAGACAGATTCATTCTCAGAAACTACTCTGTGATGTGTGCGTTCAACTCATAGACTTTAACTTTTCTTTTGATAGAGCAGATTTGAAGCCATCTGGCTATAAAGTCTGCAAGTGGATATTTGGACCTCTTTGAGGTATTCGTATGGAAAGGGATTTTTCATATAAAACTAGACAGAAGATTCTGAGAAACTTCTTTGTGAGGTGTGCATTCAACTCACAGAGTTAAACCCTCCTTTTGACACAGCAGTTTTGAAATATTCTTTTTGGAGTATTTGCAAGTGCATATTTGGATTGCTTGGAAGCCGACGGGAGAAAACCAAATATCTTCATATAGGAACTACACAGACTCATTCTCAGAAACCACTTTCTGATGTGAGCATTCAACTCACAGTTTAACCTTTCTTTTGTGAGAGCAGATTTGAAACACTCTGTTTGAAAAGTCTGCAAGTGGATATTTGGACCTCTTTGAGGCATTCGTTGGAAACGGGATTTTCATATAAAACTAGAGAGAAGAATTCTCAGAAACTTCTTTAGGATGTGTCCATTCAACCCACAGAGTTATACCCTCCTTTTGATAGAGAAGTTTTCTACCGTCAGCTTCAAAGCACTCCAAATATGCACTTGGAAATTCTACAAAAAGAGTGTTTCAAAACTGTTCTATCAAAAGGAGGGTGTAACTCTGTGATTTGAATGCACACATCCCAAAGAAGTTTCTCAGAATTCCTCTTTATAGTTTTTTATGAAAAATCCTGTTTCCAACGAATTCCTCAAAGACGTCCAAATATCCACTTGCAGACTTTACAAACAGACTGTTTCAAATCTACTCTATCAAAAAAAAGGTTAAATTCTGTGAGTTGATGGCACACATCACAAAGCGGTTTCTGAGAATGAGTCTGTCTAGTTCTTCTATGAAGATATTTGGTTTTCTACCGTCGGCTTCAAAGCACTCCAAATATGCACTTGGAAATTCTACAAAAAGAGTGTTTCAAAACTGCTCTATCAAAAGGAGGGTTTAACTCTGTGAGTTGAATGCACACATCACAAAGAAGTTTCTCAGAATTCCTCTGTCTAGTTTTTATGAAAAATCCCGTTTCCAATGAACGCCTCAAAGAGGTCCAAATATACCCTTGCAGACTTTACAAACAGAGTGTTTCAAATCAGCTCTATCAAAAGAAAGGTTAAACTCCGTGAGTTGAACGCACACATCACAAAGTGGTTTCTGAGAATGAGTCTGTCTAGTTCTTACATGAAGATATTCGGTTTTCTACCGTCGGCTTAAAAGCACTCCAAATATGCACCTGGAAACTCAACAAAAAGAGTGTTTCGAAACTGCTCTATCAAAAGGAGGGTTTAACTCAGTGAGTTGAATGAACTCATCACAAAGAAGTTTCACATAACTCTTCTGTCTCCTTTTATATGAGAAATCCCGTTTCCAACGATTTCCACAAAGAGGTCAAAATATCCCCTTGCAGACTTTACAAACGGAGTGTTTCAAATCTGCTCTATCTAAAGAAAGGTTAAACTCTGTGAGTTGAACGCAGACATCACAAAGTAGTTTCTGAGAATGAATCTGTCTAGGTTTTATGTGAAGATATTTCTCTTTTTCCACCTCAGGCCCCAAAGCGCTTCCAATATCCACTTGGAAATTCTAAGAAAAGAGGTTTCCAAAACTACTCTATCGAAAGGAATATTCAATTCTGTGAGTTGAAGACACACATCACAAAGAAGCTTCTGAGAATTCTTCTGTCTAGTTTTCTATGAAGAAATCCCGTTTCCAACAAAGGCCTCAAGGAGGTCCAATTATCCACTTGAGGATTCTACAAAAATATTGTTTCCAAAGTGTTCTATCAAAAGCAATGTTGAACTCTGTGAGTTGAATGCAAACATCACAATGTAGTTTCTGAGAATGCTACTGTCTAGTTTTTGTGTGAAGGTATTTCCTTTTCTACAATAGGCTCCAAAGCCCTCTAAATACCCGCTTGCAAATTCTACAAAAAGGGGGTGACAAAACTGCTCTATCAAAAGAAACGTTAAACTCTGTGAGTTGAGCGCACACATCACAAAGTTTTTTCTGAGAAGGATTCTGTCTACTTTTTATATGAAGATATTTCGTTTTCTACCATAGGCTTCGAAGCACTCTAAATATGCACTGGGAATTTCTACAAAAAGAGTGTTTCAAAACTCCTCTATTGAAAGGAAGGTTCAACTCTGTGAGTTGAATACACACATCACAAAGAAGTTTCTCAAAATTCTTCTCTCTTGTTGTATATGTGGAAATCCCGTTTCCAACGAATTCCTCAAAGACGTCCAAATATCCACCTGCAGACATTACAAACAGAGAGTTTCAAAACTGCTCCATCAAAAGAAAGGTTCAACTGTGTGAGTTGAACGCGCCCATCACAAACTAGTTTCTGGGAGTGCTTCTGTCTAGTTGTTATATGAAGATATTTCCTTTTCTGCCATAGGCACAAAAGCCCTTTAAATATCCACTTGGAAATTTCACAAAAAGATTCTTTCAAACCTGCTCTCTCAAAAGAAAGGTTAAACTCTGTGAGTTGAATGCACACATCATAAAGTGGTTTCTGAGAATAACTCTGTCTCGTTTTTATATGAAGATATTTGGTTTTCTACCATCGGCTTCAAAGCACTGCAAATATGCACTTGGAAATTCAACAAAAAGAGTGTTTCAAAACTGTTCTATCAAAAGGAGGGTTTAACTCTGTCAGTTGAATGCACACATCCCAAAGAAGTTTCTCAGAATTCCTCAGTCTAGTTTTTTATGAAAAATACCGTTTCGAACGATTTCCTCAAAGACGTCCAAATATCCACTTGCAGACTTTACAAACAGAGTGTTTCAAATCTGCTCTATCAAAAGAAAGGTTAAACTCTGTGAGTTGTAGGCACACATCACAAAGCGGTTTCTGAGAATGAGTCTGTCTAGTTCTTATATGAAGATATTTGGTTTTCCACCATCGGCTTCAAATCACTCCAAATATGCACTTGGAAATTCAACAAAAAGAGTGTTTCAAAACTGCTCTATCAAAAGGAGGGTTTAACTCTGTCAGCTGAATGCACACATCACAAAGAAGTTTCTCAGAATTCCTCCGTCTAGTTTTTTAAGAAAAATCCCGTTTCCAACGAATGCCTCAAAGAGGTCCAATTATCCCCTTGCAGACTTTACAGAGTGTTTCAAATCTGCTCTATCAAAAGAAACGTTAAACTCTGTGAGTTGAATGCACACATCACAATGTAGTTTCTGAGAATGAATCTGTCTAGGTTTTATGTGAAGATATTTCCTTTTTCTACCTCACGCCCCAAAGCGCTTCCAATATCCACTTGGAAATTCTAAAAAAAGAGGTTTTCAAAACTACTCTATTGAAAGGAATATTCAACTCTGTGAGTTGAAGACACACATCACAAAGAAGCTTCTGAGAATTCTTCTGTCTAGTTTTCTATGAAGAAATCCCATTTCCAATGAAGGCCTCAAGGAGGTCAAATTATCCACTTGAAGATTCTACAAAAATATTGTTTCCAAACTGCTCTATCAAAAGAATGTTGAACTCTCTGAGTTGAATGCAAACATCACAATGTAGTTTCTGAGAATGCTACTGTCTAGATTTTGTGTGAAGGTATTTCCTTTTCTACAATAGGTTCCAAAGCCCTCTAAATACCCGCTTGCAAATTCTACAAAAAGGGTGTTACAAAACTGCTCTATCAAAAGAAACGTTAAACTCTGTGAGTTGAATGCACACAACACAAAGTTGTTTCTGAGAAGGATTCTGTCTAGTTTTTATATGAAGATATTTCATTTTCTACCGTAGGCTTCAAAGCACTCTAAATATGCACTGGGAATTTCTACAAAAAGAGTGTTTCAAAACTGCTCTATCGAAAGGAAGGTTCAACTCTGTGAGTTGAATACACACATCACAAAGAAGTTTCTCAAAATTCTTCTCTCTAGTTGTATATGTAGAAATCCCATTTCCAAAGAATGCCTCAAAGACGTCCAAATATACACCTGCAGACTTTACAAACAGAGTGTTTCAAAACTGCTCCATCAAAAGAAAGGTTCAACTGTGTGAGTTGAACGCGCCCATCACAAACTAGTTTCTGAGAGTGCTTCTGTCTAGTTGTTATATGAAGATATTTCCTTTTCTGCCATAGGCACCAAAACCCTTTAAATATCCACTTGCAAATTTCACAAAAAGACTGTTTCAAACCTGCTCTCTCAAAAGAAAGGTTAAACTCTGTGAGTTGAACGCACACATCACAAAGTGGTTTCTGAGAATGAGTCTGTCTAGCTCTTATATGAAGATATTTGGTTTTCTACAGTCGGTTCCAAAGCATCCAAATATGCACTTGGAAATTGAACAAAAAGAGTGTTTCAAAACTGCTCTATCAAAAAGAGGGTTTAACTCCGTGAGTTGAATGCACACATCCCAAAGAAGTTTCTCAGAATTCCTCTGTCTAGTTTTTATGAAATATCCCGTTTACAACGATTTCCTCCTAGAGGTCCAAATATCGCCTTGCAGACTTTACAAACAGAGTGTTACAAATCTGCTCTATCAAAAGAAAGGTTAAACTCTGTGAGTTGAAGGCACACATCACAAAGTTGTTTCTCAGAATGAGTCTGTCTAGTTCTTATATGAAGATATTTTGTTTTCTACAGTCAGTTTCAAAACACTCCTAATATGCACTTAGAAATTCAACAAAAAGAGTGTTTCAAAACTGCTCTATCAAAAGGAGGTTTTAACTCTCTGAGTGAAATGCACAGATCCCAAAGAAGCTACTCAGAATTCTTCTGTCGAATTCTTCCATCAAGTTCTTTATGAAAAATCCCGTTTCCAAAGAATGCCCCTAAGAGTTCCAAATATCTGCTTGCAGACTTACCAAACAGAGAGTTTCAAATCTGCTCTATCAAAAGAAAGGTTAAACTCCGTGAGCTGAACGCACACATCACAAAGTGGCTTCTGAGAATGAGTCTGCCTAGTACTTACATGAAGATATTTCATTTTCTACCATCGGCTTCAAAGCACTCCAAATATGAACTTGGAAATTCTACAAAAAGAGTGTTTCAAGACTGCTCTATCAAAAGGAGGGTTTAACGCTGTGAGTTGAATGCACATATCCCAAAGAAGTTTCTCAGAATTCCTCAGTCTAGTTTTTTATGAAAAATCCCTTTTCCAACGAATTCCCCAAATACTTCAAAATATCCACTTGCAGACTTTACAGAGTGTTTCAAATCTGCTCTATCAAAAGAAAGGTTAAACTCTGTGAGTTGAAGGCACACACCACAAAGCGGTTTCTGAGAATGAGTCTGTCTAGTTCTTATATGAAGATATTGGGTTTTCTACCGTCAGCTTCAAAGCACTCCAAATATGCACTTGGAAATTGTACAAAAAGAGTGCTTCAAAACTGCTCTATCAAAAGGAAGGTTTAACTCTCTGAGTTGAATGCACACATCCCAAAGAAGTTTCTCAGAATTCCTCAGTCCAGTTTTTTATTAAAAAACCCATTTCCAAAGAATTCCTCAAAGAGGTCCAAATATCCACTTGCAGACTTTAAAAACAGAGTGATTCAAATCTGCTCTATGAAAAGAATGATTAAAATCTGTGAGTTCAAGGCACACATCACAAACTTGTTTATGAGAATGAGTCTGTCTAGTTCTTATATGAAGATATTTGGTTTTCTACCGTCGGCTTCAAAGCACTCCAAATATGCACTTGGAAATTCAAAAAAAAGAGTGTTTCAAAACTGCTCTATAAAAAGGAAGGTTTAACTCTGTGAGTTGAATGCACACATCCCAAAGAAGTTTCTCAGAATTCCTCTGTCTAATTTATTATGAAAAATCCCATTTCCAACGAATTCCTCAAATAGGTCCAAATATCCACTTGCAGAATTTAACAACAGAGTGTTTCAAATCTGCTCTATCAAAAGAAACGTTAAACTCTTTGAGTTGAAGGCACACATCACAAAGTTGTTTCTGAGAATGAGTCTGTCTAGTTCTTATATGAACATATTTGCTTTTCTACCGTTGGCTTCAAAGCACTCCGAGTATGCACTTGGAAATTCAACAAAAAGAGTGTTTCAAAACAGCTCTATCAAAAGGAGGTTTTAACACTGTGAGTTGAATGCACACATCACAAAGAAGTTTCTCAGAATTCTTCTGTCTCGTTTCTTATGAGAAATCCCGTTTCCAATGAATGCCTCAAAGAGGTCCAAATATCCCCTTGCAGACTTTACAAAAGGAGTGTTTCAAGTCTACTCTATCTATCTAAAGAAAGGTTAAATTCCGTGAGTTGAACGCACACATCACAAACTAGTTTCTGAGAATGAATCTGTCTAAGTTTTATGTGAAGATATTTTCTTTTTCTACCTCAGGCCTCAAAGCACTTCCAATATACACTTGGAAATTCTGAAAAAAGAGGTTTTCAAAACTACTCTATTGAAAGGAATATTCAACTCTGAGAGTTGAAGACACAAATCACAAAGAAGTTACTGAGAATTCTTCTGTCCAGTTTTCTATGAAGAAATACAGTTTCCAAAGAAGGCCTCAGAGAGGTCCAAATATCCACTTGCAGACTTTACAAACAGAGTGTTTCCAAACTGCTCTATGAAAACAAAGCTTGAATTCTATGAGTTGAACTCACTCATCACAAAGCAGTTTCTGACAATGATTCTGTCTAGTTGTTATACGAAGATATTTCCTTTTCTACCAATGGCCTCAAAGCGCTTGAAATCTCAACCTGCAAATTCCACAAAAAGACTGTATCAAATCTGCTCTGTCTAACGGAAGGTTCAACTCTGTGAGTGGAATACACACAACACAAAGAAGTTACAGAGAATTCCTCTGTCTAGATTATATGAAGTAATCCGGTTTCCAACGAAGGCCTCAAAGAGGTCCAAATATCCACTTGCAGACTTTACAGAGTGTTTCCAAACTGCTGTATGAAAGGAAAGGTTAAACTCTGTGAGTTGAACGCACACATCACAAAGTAGTTTCTGAGAATGATTCTGTCTACTTTTTATACGAAGATATTTCTTTTTCTACCATTGGCCTCAAAGCGCTTGAAATCTCCACCTGCAAATTCCACAAAGAGAGTTTCAAATCTGCTCTGTCTAAAGGAAGGTTCAACTCTGTGAGTTGAATACACACAACACAAAGAAGTTACTGAGAATTCTTCTGTCTAGCATTATATGAAGAAATCCCGTTTCCAACGAAGGCTTCAAAGAGCTCAAAATATTCACTTGCAGACCTTACAAACAGAGTGTTTCCAAAGTGCTCTATGAAAAGAAAGGTTAAACTCTGTGAGTTGAACGCCCACTTCACAAAGTAGTTTCTGAGAATGATTCTGTCTAGTTTTTATACAAAGATATTTCCTTTTCAATCCTTGGCCTCAAATCACTTGAAATCTCCACCTGCAAATGCCACAAAAGGAGTGTAACAAATCTGCTTTGTCGAAAGGAAGGTTCAAATCTGTGAGTTGAATACATGCAACACAAAAAAGTTACTGAGAATACTTCTGTCTGGCATTATATGAAGAAAACCCGTTTCCAACGAAGGCCTGAAAGTGGTCCAAATATCCACTTGTAGACTATACAAACAGAGTGTTTCCAAATTGCTGTATGAAAAGAAAGGCTAAACTCTGTGAGTTGAATGCACACATCACAAAGTAGTTTCTGTAAAATGATTCTGTCTAGCTTTTAAAAGAAGATATTTCCTATTCTACCATCGGCTTCAAAGCGCTTGAAATCTCCACCTTCACATTCCACAAAAAGAGTGTATCAAATCTGCTATGTCTAAAGGAAGGTTCAACTCTGTGACTTGAATACACACAACACAAAGAAGTTACTGAGAAATTCTCCGTCTAGCATTATATGAAGAAATCCCGTTACCAACGAAGGCCTCAAAGTGGTCCTAATATCCACTTGCAGACTTTACAAACAGAGTGTTTCCAAACTGCTCTATGAAAAGAAAGGTTAAACACTGTGAGTTGAAAGCACACATCACAAAGCAGTATCTGAGAATGATTCTGTCTAGTTTTTATATGAAGATATTTCCTTTTCTATCCTTGGCCTCAAAGCGCTTGAAATCTCCACCAGCAAATTCAACAAAAAGAGTGTTTCAAATCTGCTCTGTCTAAAGGAAGTTTCAACTCTGTGAGTTGAATACACACAACACAAAGAAGTTACTGAGAATTCTGCTGTCTAGCATTATATGAAGAAATACCATTTCCAATGAAGGCCTCAAAGAGTTCCAAATATCCACTTGCAGACTGTACAGAGTGTTTCCAAATTGCTCTATGAAAAGAAAGGTTAAAATCTGTGAGTTGAACGAACACACCTCAAAGTAGTTTCTGAGAACGATTCTGTCTAGTTTTTATACGAAGATATTTCCTTTTCCTTGGCCTCAAAGCCCTTCAAATCTCCAACTGCAAATTCCACAAAAAGAGTGTATCAAATCTGCTATGTCTAAAAGAAGGTTGCACTCTGTGAGAGGAATACACACAACACAAAGAAGTTACTGAGGTATCTTCTGTCTAACATTATATTAAGAAATCCCGTTTCCAACGAAGGCCTCCAAGTGGTCCTAATATCCACTTGTAGACTTTACAAACAGAGTGTTTCCAAAGTGCTCTATGAAAAGGAAGGTTAAACTCTGTGAGTTGAACGCACACATCAAAAAGTAGTATCTGAGAATGATTCTGTTTAGTTTTTATACGAAGATATTTCCTTTTCTATCCTTGGCCTCAAAGCGCTTGAAATCTCCACCAGCAAATTCAACAAAAAGAGTGTTTAAAATCTGCTCTGTCTAAAGGAAGGTTCAACTCTGTGAGTTGAATACACACAACACAAAGAAGTTACTGAGAATTCTTCTGTCTTGCATTATATGAAGAAATCCCGTTTCCAACGAAGACCTCAAAGAAGTCCAAATATCCACTTGCAGACTTTACAGATTGTTTCCAAATTGCTCTATGAAAAGAAAGGTTAAACTCTGTGAGTTGCACGAACACATCTCAAAGTAGTTTCTGAGAATGATTCTGTCTACTTTTTATATGAAGATATTTACTTTTCTACCTTTGGCCTCAAAGCGCTTGAAATCTCCACCTGCAAATTCCACAAAAAAGTGTATCAAATCTCCTCTGTCTTAAGGGAGGCTCAACTCAGTGAGTGGAATACACACAACACAAAGAAATTACTGAGAATTCTTCAGTATAGTGTTGTATGAAGAAATCCCATTTCCAAAGAAGGCCTCCAAGAGGTCCAAATATCCACTTGCAGACTTTACAAACAGAGTGTTTCCAAACTTCTCAATCAAAAGAAAGGTTAAACTCTCTGAGTTGAATGCACACATCACAGAGTAATTTCTGAGAGTGATTCTGTCTAGTTTTAATATGAAGATATTTCCTCTTCTACCATTGGCCCCAAAGCGTTTGAAATCTCCACCTGCAAATTCCACAAAAAGAGTGTATCAAATCTGCTCTATCTAAAGGAAGATTCAACTCTCTGAGTTGAATACACACAACACAAAGAAGTTACTGAGAATTCTTCTGTCTAACGTTATATGAAGAAATCCCGATTCCAATGAAGGCCTCAAAGAGGACCAAATATCCACTTGCAGACTTTACAAAGAGAGTGTTTCCAAACTGCTCTATGAAAAGAAAGGTTAAACTCTGTGAGTTGAATGCACACATCACAAATTAGTTTCTGAGAATGATTCTGTCTAATTGTTATACGAAGATATTTCCTTTTCTAATATTGGCCTCAAAGCGCTTGAAATCTCCACATTCAAATTCCAAAAAAAAGAGTGTTTCAAATCTGCTCTGTCTACAGGAACGTTCACCTCTGTGAGTTGAATAAATGCAACACAAAGAAGTTAATCAGAATTCCTCTGTCTAGCATTATATGAAGAAATCCCGTTTCCAACGAAGGACACAAAGAAGTCCAAGTATCCAGTTGCAGAGTTTACAAACAGAGTGTTTCCAAACTGCTGTATGAAAAGAAAGTTTAAACTCTGTGAGTTGAACGCTGACATCACAATGTAGTTTCTGTGAATGATTCTGTCTAGTATTCATACGAAGATATTTCCTTTTCTACTTTGGCCTCAGAGCGCTTGAAAACTCCAACTGCAAATTCTACAAAAAGTGTATAACAAATCTCCTCTGTATAAACGAAGGTTCAACTCTCTGAGTGGAATATACACAACACAAAGAAGTTACTGAGAATTCTTCTGTATAGCGTTATATGAAGAAATCCCATTTAAAAGAAGACCTCCAAGAGGTCCAAATATCCACTTGCACATTTAGAAACAGAGTGTTTCCAAACTGGTCTATGAAAAGAAAGGTTACACTCTGTGAGTTGAACGCACACATCACAAAGTAGTTTCTGAAAATGATTCTCTCTACTGTTTAGACGAAGATATTTCCTTTTCTACCATTGCCCTTAAAGCGCTTGAAATCTCCACCTTCACATTCCACGAAAAGAGTGTGTGAAATCTGCTCTGTCTAAAGGAAGGTTCAACTCTGTGAGCTGAATACACACAACACCAAAAAGTTACTGAGAATTCTTCTGTCTAGCATTATATGAAGAAATCCCGTTTCCAACGAAG